>NC_000006.12:62004321-62307351 GCF_000001405.40 Homo sapiens
TCACCACCCATCCCACAGAAATACAAACTACCATCAGATAATACTATAAACACCTCTTCGCAAATAAGCTAGAAAATCTAGAAGAAATGGATAAATTCCTGGAGACATACACCCTCCTAATACACCTTCCTAAACCAGGAAGACATTGAATCCCTGAATAGACCAATAACAGACTTTAAAATTGAGGCAATAATTAATAGTCTTCCAACCAAAAAAACTCCATGACCAGACGGATTCACAGCCGAATTCTACCAGAGGTACAAAGAGGAGCTGGTACCATTCCTTCTGAAACTGTTCCAATCAATAGAAAAAGAGGGAATCCTCCCTAACTCATTTTATGAGGCCAGCATCATACTGATACCAAAGCCTGGCAGAGGCACAACAACAAAAAAAGAGAATTTTAGACCAATATCCCTGATGAACATTGATGCAAAAATCCTCAATAAAATACTGGCAAACCGAATCTGGCAACACATCAAAAAGCTTATCCACCAAGATCAAGTTGGCTTCATCCCTGGGATTAAAGGCTGGTTCAACATACACAAATCAATAAACGTAATCCATCACATAAACAGAACCAAAGACAAAAACCACATGATTTTCTCAACAGATGCAGAAAAGGCCTTCGACAAAATTCAACAGCTGTTCATGCTAAGAAGTCTCAATAAAGTAGGTATTGATGGAACTTCATGATTGAGAATCCTAGTTGTCTTTTCCTTTAATTTAAACAAAGGCTAAACACTTCATTTTTAGAGTTCATTTAAGAGATTTGAAGTTCTGATTACAATCTCTTGATGTTCTTGGTGTATATATCATATTAATGGTCATTAATCAGTTGAGTTATGTCTGCCACAACAGTAAGTGATTTTTCAATCCACTCCTCTTCCTCATCAGCAAAGTAACACTTGCAAACTACCTACTTCAAAGGAAAATTCAGATACATAACTGATTTTATTTATAACTAAAATATAACTGACATGAAAAGATGTTATTATTAACCTTGTTATTTTTTGTTGTTTGCTATTTCTATTCCTGTCATCATTATTTTGAAGCCACTGCAACACTCTCCAATTAAAAAAATTTATTTGTACTATAAGAAAATAAAATCAAATTATTTAAATATGCTTTAATAATAGAAAAGATTAGATATTTCAGAGAGCTATCTCCTAGAATATGAATTTCCCTTGTAGAAATTACAACAAGCATAACTTTCAGTACATTTATAGACTTACAAAAGAGAAAGGAAAGTCTTTAGGGACCAAAAATCAAATTCATTTAAATAATAGTAACACTAAAAAAATAAGCTTTTGCAAGTGAGTATGAAAAAAAAATCAAATAGTATAAAAACTGAAGTCTTTGGAACTTGAAATTGTGAATAAAGAATATAAAATAACAATATATTTATAAAGTTCTAACTGTAAATCATGCAAATAAAAAACCTATAGTTATGAAATAAAAATAAAAAATGATAAAGCAGATATCAAAACCACTAAATAGAGCTTGCTGAAATGAAAATAGCAAAACCAGTAAAATATATAAAATTCAATAGATTAACCAATCTTGAGATAATACACAGTTTAAGCGATTACTAACATTGACGAAATTATACCAAATGCAACACAGAGATACAAGGAGACGAAAAATTTGAAAGCAATATTAAGAAATGGAATATGCAATAAGACTGTTTAACATATTTTCCATAGCAGCCTCCAATGTAGAAAACAGAATTGAGAAAACAAAATATTCTATGGGCTGAGAATCTCTAAAAAATGAGTCAAGAATCAGAATAAATCTCGTGCAGGATAAATTTGTAATATTTCACTCTAGACAATACAGTAATACAACTGTAAAACAGCAAAGAAAACCTCTAAAAAGGATGGACTATGCATGAACTACAGAGACTGACACAGACTTCTTAAAGGCAACAATGGAAGACAAAAAGAAATGTAGTAATAAATTTGAAATTCTGAGAGTAAAACACTGCCAATCTAAAGTTATATATGCAAAAATGAATCTTGTAAGACAAAGAGCAAGACAAACATTTTCAGGTAAATAAAACTAAATGTCATTTTCTCCAAAGAAATTGCTAAAAAAGTATTTCAAGAAGGAATAAATCAAATAAAAATGAAGGTCAGAGCTGAAGGTAGAATGAGCAAAGAAATTCATAAGCACAGTGATACATCTAATCAGAGACTATATAAAAATAACAACTAAACATGGCTTAGAACACACACACAGCTAAAATACTGAAAATCATAACATTTAGATTCAGCTAACAATAATAAAGTATCTTCAATTCTTCTATTGCTCATGGGTGAAATAAAAATACTGATCCGCTTTATCCTATACAAGACCATAGTAAACGTTTTAAAGGTAACTAATAAAGTATAATATAGAATGTATAACTTTCAAACATATATACAGAAAAATTAAATAGTAAATTTCCATTAATTTAAAAGAAGACAAAACAAGAAAAAATAATAAAGCAAATTATAGATATCAAAGGATGATGGTGGAATCATCAAAATATATCAATAAACATAAATAAAATAAAGCCTCAAAATATAAGGCAGGAGTTATTAGATAAATTTTTTTTAAATTCAGCTTACTGTTCTGAAATTCAAATGTACTGAAAGTTAAAAAAATTTCAGGTCATGACAGGCAATATTAACCAAAATAAAACTTGTACGTATGTGTGTGTGTACATACATCTACATGTAAGACAAACTGGACATTGCTTCTGTGATCAGACAGGCTACCTTTCATGTTTCTGCTCCCATTATAACCACAAGGGTTGGGAAGGCTCGTCAAACAAAAAGCTAAAGAAAAACAAATATTTCCCAATCCAGTTGTACTTTTTCAAAAATTAAGCCTCTTCCATTTCTCCAGAGTCTTCCATTAAGCAGAAGTTCCATCTTCTGCTTAACCTTTATTACTTTTCAACACCTTTAAATAAGTTTTCTGTTTAAACAGTTTGTTGTCCAGTAAAGGTCCAGTTCTGAGGACCTTTACTCTGCCATGATTATCCAAAGTGGCTATGAGAGATTACTTTGTTGGTTAAAGCTCTTTTACATTTTGATGTTTTTTTTTTTCTTTTGTCATACATAGGCTTTAACTGTTTTTTATAAAATGCATGAATTTACTTCTCTGCCTAATCGGGTGTATGAAAACTGATGACACAGACCACATTTTTATTTATGCTTAATTATCATGCAAACTTTAATCTGTTTAATTAATTATTGTGTCTTAAAAAAGTAAGTGAAACTAAATGTATAATTAATATTCTGAAGAAAACCATTAAAACACACAGCTTTGAAGGTAAGGAATAAATATATACCACACATATGCCTCTTTAGGGAATATCAACTAAAATTCACAAGAAGAAATTTAGTGGCTGAAAAATAGATGTATAGTCAACGAGGAGGCTTTTCACAAAGTCAATTCTTCAGTACCATAAGTCAAAAAAACCCCAAACCTGCTGCTTTATGTCTTCATATCTATGATATATTTATAAAGGCGTATTTGATGCTGTAGAAACAATAAACTAGAACACATATGTTGTGCATCTCTACTGTAAAATGGCAAAATATGGTAGAGATAACCTGCAAAAGTATAGAAAATATCAAGTACAAATTGATTTCTGAATATACAAGATAAAGATAAAAAATGATATACAAAATGAATTTCATATGTTAAAAAATGCCAAGCATTGACTGTATGTAGAAATGGAGCTTCACAAATTAAAAAGCAGAAAAGGTAACATATTCCTGATTAAAACACCACACAATTTTACTGTTGGATGAATCACAAAAGTTCTCATTAAGGAAGAAATAATGCTTGCATTCAGGGTCAGTTAAGCAAATAAAATGCAGATTTGCAGCTGGATATAACCTGCCTCAGTACGGTATTTTTAAAAAGTACCAAGTGCTTAGGGTTTTGTCACATGAGAGGAATTTTTTTTTAAACCTAAACAAAAGACTCTTTTTTCCTAGTCATGTGACAGTCAGTAATTTATGTTATATGTTTTATTCTAATGTCCTTATGAAAATGAGGACAGTAATAGTAAATGTCTCATTGAAATTTTGTGAGGAATAAAATATATATGTACATAACTTTTAGAATAATGCTCAATAGTTAACTATGATGGCTATGATTATCCTTATTACAAGTCTACAGATTTGAAGTATAATCAATACAGGATTCCACTCCTAAGTGGTGTATATACAAGCTAATTTTGGGGATGGAATTATCAAACAGTGATCCCCTTGATATGATTTGGCTCTGTGTCCCCATGCACATCTCATCTTTTAGCTCCCATAATTCCCATGTGTTGTGGGAGGAACCCCATGGGAGATGATTGAACTATGGGGGTGGGTCTTTCCCATGCTGTTCTCATGATATTGAATGGGCCTCACAAGATCTGGTGGTTTTAAAAAGAGAAGTTGCTCTGCACAAGTTCTCTCTTTGCCTGCTGCCATCTGTGTAAGATGTGACTTGCTCCTCCTTGCCTTCCAACATGATTGTGAGGCCTCCCCAGCCACGTGGAACTGTAAGTCCAATAAACTTCTTTTTTTTGTAAATTGCCCAGTCTCAGGTATGTCTTTATCAGTAGTGTGAAAACGGGCTAATAGAGTAAATTGGTGCCAGTAGAGTGGGGTACAGCTGAAAAGATACCTGAAAATGTGGAAGTGACTTTGGAAATGGGTAACAGGCAGAGGTTGGAACAGGTTGAAGGGTTCAGAGGAAGAAAGGAAAATGTGGGAGAGTTTGGAACTCCCTAGAGACTTGTTGAATGGCTTTGACCAAAATGCCGATAAAAATATGGACAATGAAATCCAGTCTGAGGTGGTCTCAGATGGAGATGAGGAACTTGTTGGGAACTGGAGTAAAGGTGACTCTCGTTATGTTTTTAGCAAAGAGACTGGTGGCATTTTGCCCCTGCCCTAGAGATTTGTGGAACTTTGAACTTGAGAGAAATGATTTAGGGTATCAGTTGGAAGAAATTTCTAATCAGCAAAGCATTCAAGAGGTGAGTTGGGTACTGTTAAAGGCATTCAATTTCAAAAGAGAAACAGAGCATAAAAGTTTGGAATAGTTGGAGCTTGACAATGTGATAGAAAAGAAAATCCCATTTTCTGAGGAGAAATCCAAGCCCACTGCAGAAATTGCATAAGTAATGAGGAGCCGAATGTTAATCACCAAGACAATGAGGAAAATGTCTCCAGGGCATGTCTGAGATCTTCATGGCAGCCGCTCCCATCACAGGCCCAGAGGCCTAGGAGGAAAAGTGGTTTTGTGGGCCAGGCCCAGGGTCCCCAAGCTGTGTGCAGTCAAGAGACTTGTTGCCCTGTGTCCCTGCCACTCCAGCTGTGGCTGAAAGGGGTCAAAGTAGAGCTCAGGTCATGGCTTCAAAAGGTGCAACCCTCAAGCCTTGGCAGCTTCCATGTGGTGTTGGGCCTGCAAGTGCACGGAAGTCAAGGAATGAGATTTGGAAACCTCCACCAACATTTCAGGAGATGTATGAAAATGCAGGATATCCAGGCAGGAGTTTGCTGTAGGGGCAGGGTCCTCATGTAGAAGCTCTGCTAGGGCACTGCAGAAGGGAAGCGTGGGGTTGGAGCCCCCATACAGAGTCCTCACTGGGGTACTGCCTAGTGGAGCTATGAGAACAGGGCCACCGTCCTCCAGATCCCAGAATGGTAGGTCCATTGACAGCTTGTACCATGAGCCTGGAAAAGTGGTAGACACTCAATGCCAGCCCATGAAGGCAGCCTGGAGGGAGGTTGTACCCTGCAAAGCCACAAGGACGGAGCTGACCAAGACTACAGGAACCTATCTCTTGCAACAGCGTGACCTGGATGTGAGACATGGAGTGAGTCAAAGGAAATCATTTTGGAGCTTAAAGATTTGACTACCCTGCTGGATTTTAGACTTGCATGAAGCCTGTAGCACCTTTGTTTTGGCCAATTTCTCCCATTTGGAATGCCTGCTCCCCCATTGTATCTATTAAGTAACTAACTTGCTTTTGATTTTACAGGCTCATAGGTGGAAGGGACTTGCCTTGTCTTGGATGAGACTTTGGACTGTGGACTTTTGAGTTAATGCTGAAAAGAGTTGAGACTTTGGGGGACTGTTGGGAAGGCATGATTGGTTTTGAAATGTGAGGACATGAGATTTGGAAGGGACCAGGGGTGGAATAATATGGTCTAGCTCTGTGTCCCCACCCAAATCTCATCTTACAGCTCCCATAATTGCGATGTGTTGTGGGAGGGACCCAGTGGGAGATGACTGAATTATGGGAGTGGGTCTTTCCCAGGCTGTTCTTGTGATAATAAATGGGTCTGATGGTTTTAAAAATGGGAGTTGCCATGCACAAACTCTCTTTGCCTGCTGCCATCCACATAAGATGTGATTTGCTCCTCCTTGCCTTCCACCACGATTGTAATAGTTTAAAAAAACCTCATCTGTTAAATATTTTAATGAAACCTGCTTTTTTAAACTGTTAATTACCCAATTCCTATCCAAAATGTTTACTTTTTAAAAATTCACCTTTCTAAAAATAATAAAGAAAAACCTATCAGCAAATAAAATTAGGGCCCAAACATTCCACCTCCTGTATTAAAAAAATAAACATTTGTCCCTCTTATTTCAGAGATTTTACTTTAAAGTGTTTTGTTTTGTTTTTTATTCCTGCACAGATCTTCACTTTGTGGTTTCTAATGAAGAGGTTATTATTAAATAATAGTGAGGCTTATAATGTCAGGAACATTTTGATGACTTATATATATGTCTAAAAACGTACAAACAGGTTGGTGTGAAAGAAATTATTAGAATTCATCTTAAGGTTTTGCCTTCCATTCAGAATTACACATGCTAAAACTCAAGGAGCACCTAGAATTTGGAATGAATGAGGTAGAAATGAGTTCTATCATTTCTCTGATAGTGTTGACAAAACCTGTCATGAAAAAGTCAAGTAAAAGTATTTACAAATGTAAATTCTACTGTGAATCAACACTAGAAAGCAATAACACATTGCACACGAAAATAAAAACCGAAAGTAAACAATGATGTAGAAATGTGAAAAATATTCACATTACAATGAATGAAATATGGCAATACAGGTAAATTCCATAACTCAATACTGCCTAAATAACATGATTTGTGGAAAATCATTTCATTAATAGTACTAGGACAATATTTGTCTCCTTTGAAAAACTAGTATGTTTTCTCCATATTAACCTCAAGATTTATGTCAAATGCATTAGACGGTATCTACTTTCACACCGGGATCAATGACAGTGATACCATTAATACTCTTGGCTAGCCCATTTGCTCCTTCCTTATTTCTAAGGTCTTGATTTCTTATTTTTATTGGTAGTTTTTTTATGATTTTTGTGACTAATTTTGGTAACAGACCTCTGAAAGCATTTGTAGGAATTCTTGACACATACTAAGTGCTCAATGTAAGCTATGTATCATTATTACTATTTTAGTTTTTCATTCACGTTCACTTTATTATAAATTTTCTCAAATGTACTATAGGAAAACAAGTTCAACAAACAGGTTAAAGGTGTTAAAACTGTTTTTTAAGAGTAGCACAGATTTTAAGTGACTTAGGAACAGATTTAGGGGCATATTTACATACACAAGAAAAAAGTGGTAGGGTTATTTACACAAAGTAAGCAAATAAAAAATGACATCTTACAAATGTTTCTTGATTTGAACCCAGGTACTGACTTCTCCCCAGATCTTTACTCATATAACAATCCCCTTCTTGACGAGTCCATGTGGAAGTCAGCAAGACAGCTAAAACTAAACTTTACCAGTACAAACCTACCTGACAGCAATTGTTCATGTTTCCTCCAGAGTCCAAGAGTAATCTTGATTATTCACTCTTCCTCATTAACTATACCTCAGCTATCAGTAAGTCCTGCAGATTCTGATCTCAAAACACATTCCAAAATCATGCACTTCTCTCTTTTTTAGAGTTCTAGGCTTCTAGTCCAAGTCACTAGCATATCTTGCTTGTCCACTGTAGCAATTTCCTAACAAGTTACCCTGTATCCACTCTTACTCATCCACAATCCTTTTCCACTAAACAGGAGAAAGCTGTGTTTTTAAAATATAAATAGAATTCACTTCAAGTCCTTTCTATTTCACTTGGAGTAAAATCCAAACGCTTCTTTCTGGCTTAAACGGCCTATTTTATCTAGATACCACTGACCTCATCTTGTGACACTTTTCTACTTATCCTTTATATTCAAGGAAACTTAGTTAAAGTCCTCCAAACACACCAAGCAAGTGCCTTCCTTTTGGTCTTTGCATTCACTCTTCCCACCACCTAGAGTGCACTTCTGACCCTCACATGGCTGGCTTTTTGTGATTCAGCTTAGTACCTCAGCTTCATTGCCACTATCTCAGAGAGGTCTTTCTTGACTACTCTAACTACATCAGCCAACCAGGCATTCCTATCACACGGAAGCATTTTAGTAACATACATAGCACTACTCACAACCTGAGGCATTTTCCTGTTTGCTTGCTTATCTATTTTCTTTCACTTCCACTGTACTCCCAAAGAAAATTTAAGTTTAGTGAAAGCAGAGATGTTTGTCTTGTTCAGGCAATATCTCCAGCAACTAGGAAATGAACATATGGTGTTGTGGAAGAAGGACTGGGAACTGCAGTGACACTGAGAGGAGGATCACGTCATGCATTGTGCTCCTAGAAATTGAATAGCTTCTTCACTGTAAAAATATAGTCTGGTTGCAAAATTAAAAGGAGGACTTTGATTTCTTTGGAATTCAAATGAGATCCTATGGAGCCCATGTTAATTGACAAGATTTCTAAGAAACTTTAATCAGTTGGAAAGTTATGAGCATTTTATTCATACTTCTAGATAGCAGTATGGAAAGCTATAAGGCACAAACCAAAGCTAGAAAATATGATGTGTACCTAGTTATAAACATGAATAGAATTTATTGAAAAATTATTCCTAAATTTGAGTCCATTTGAAAAATAATAAATGATAAGGTACTTAAATTATTTCAAATAGACCTTAAATGTATCAATTAAAATTTACTGATATAAGTTGATCAAACTGAAATGGAAACAAAATTTTATTTTACATCTTCAACATTTTGGCCTCTTTCATTTAAAATAATAGAATTTTATTATTTGATTTTAGCAAAATTTTAATAATTATAATATCAAAAATGTGTTTAGTACAATGTAAAATCATAGCAAAATCAATTTTATTTAAATTACTATTATTACATTATTATTATAAAAATGAGGCAAGTTGAGGATTATTATGAACTAACACTCAGTCAGACACTGTTCTATGTGCTTTTGGAAACGCTATGTTAGCCATGCCTTTACAGGCATCCGTCCTTACAGTAACTCAGTGAGGTTACTGCTATCCTTTGGCAGTGCGTTGCCTCACACCAGACACCATTCCCACAGTATCACCATTAATGTTAATACCTCTGTGTTTCTGGAACCCGATGACATAAACACTTCAGTAAAGATCACTGATGTGGCAAATCGCAGAACGGTTTAAATAGCAGAATTAAGTCAAAGAGGTGCTAGCAACCACAGGAAGGAAAGAGATGTTCCCTGCTCCACAGTTCTGTACCATGTTCGTTTCCTAGGTTACAAAGCAGTTATGTGTGACGAGAGTGTCACTACAGAGTTTTGATTGACAGGTCTGAAAACTAAGTGGATTGTTGCAGAGAGTATGAATGACACTGATTAATATTTCTAAGAAAATATTGTTAAAACATGAGATTAAATGTGTGGTGTATGTACTAATTGCAAACATATTTTAATAAAATTAGTTATTCTCCATCTAATTCTTAGGTGGTATATCTACTCTCAATGAGTTCTTCTAAATTTTTTCAGTCTACAATATATTAGTTTCAAATGTCTTTGATAAGAATCAATTACATTTAAATTTTCTTTCTTATAGTTTCTCATAAATAAAGGATAAATGTTCTGGAAGATCTTGCTTTATGTCCTCTTAGGGATAAAAAAGTGTTTTCTTTCTGGTTTTTAAAACCCAATCTTTTGATTGAGGATTTAGTTTATCAAAGGACTCCCACAATTTGTCAAAATGCTGGTTCAAAATTGTTTATGAATAAGTAAGTAACAGGTAAGTTTCCTGAAAGTATAAACATAACAAATTGCTGTCTCTGATTTCTTTTGAACACTGTATGACCCTACTGGCTAGCTACAGTACAAGTGTCAGAATAAATGACAAAAAATAATTCAATTCATATAGTAATGAAAGACCTAAAATTATTATTTAAGCAACATGAAATCCAAATAATTTTACTAACAAAATAAAGATTAACTGAATAATTTCTCTTAAATAATATTCAACACTTAATTTAGATTCTAGAGTTATATCTTTCCTAAATGGAACATCCTGTATCTTACTTCTGTCTAGTCATACAGCACATGAAATATTTTCATGGGAATGTTACTATTTTTGACAACTTGTCATATATTTGATAAATTACATTACATAAGAAAATAATTACATGATATAAGAAAATAATAAGAATGTGGTTTCGTTTAGGAAGATTCTTAATACACAAAGATATATCTGCAAATATATTTTCCTAGCTTTGGTTTTCTTATGTGGATTTTTTTACCTTGGCAAACCATACGTGGAAGGTATTCAAGGAAAGGCTAGAAACATTTATGAGGACAAATCATAATCAGTAATTGAGATTAGGGCTGGTTGTCTGAATGTTAATGCAACAAGGGACACATTGAAAAGTAATTGTTATCTCTTTTTTCACCTTTGAAATTTACATAATTGAATCATCATTATATCACTGGTTCAATGATATTTTAAGGTAGTATACTTATAGATTAATACACACATAAAGTACATATGACATAACAGAGTTAGAGGAATTTTCTATTTATACAATTTGATTTTTACAGATAAAGACACTGAAGTCTAATAATGTTAAAAGTTTTATTAAAGTTCATATTGTTTGAAAGAGCTAGAGCCCAGCCCAGAACCCATGTCCTGCTGCTCTTGGCTTTATAAGATGTAAGGGAAAAGTGGTGGAGATGCAGGTGCATGCTTTCTGACTGCTGCAGTATTTTCACACCCTGCCACTCTTTACCTTAGGCAGTACTATGTAGTCTATATTCCTCTAGTAAAAACATCTTAACCAAAAATGGTCTAGTTCATGATCAGCCCTCCATCTAAAAGTCCCCTGATCCTTCTTTTAGCACACTGACAATTTCCAGAGCTCCAGACAAAAACCGAAAAGCTTTGTTTCTACTCACTAACTCCACCTCTAGTTTCATGGTTAGATACTCAGAGATACACAAAGCAGTCTGCAGAGATGGCAAAAACAACAGTTCCATATAGATATAAAATGTTTGAAAAGATAAAGGGTTTACATTTTCCAGTCCTACTGATGAAAGCCAGAATTATTATCCACAGATCAGAAAATTAGATGGATTTCATGTTATTTCTGCATTTCTCTTAGGAAAGTACAATTAGCATTCCCTCTTGAATCACAAAGGTTAAATTGTTTGAAGATTTTCCTTCCTGCTCTGATAATTTCAATAATTTTATTCCAGTGTCAGCAAAGAGAGATGGTGCCATTTATACTTATAGTCATTAGCCTTCCTTCTGAACCCTCAAGCTTGTTCATCCAGGTTTAGACTTTCAAGTATGTTTCTAAATCAATCATTAATTAGACCCAGAAAAAAAGAACACAAATTATGAAAACTAAAGAGTCCTTCTCAAAAAGGCTCTTTCCTTTTTCTTTCACTTTTTTTCCCATGGATATTTTAGTTTCTAGTGGTTCTATAAGCTTATACTTGGGAATTTCACCTTTAGACCCCAGGATATATTTAATAGTAGAATGAGGTAGGATCCAAATAAACCAATCTCAAAAGTTTCATCACATGTAATAATTTTTAGAAATAATTTGTGAGACTGAATTGCTTGTATCCTTATCTAGTACAGAAAATTTACTTCTAGTCATACTAGCAGAAATACAAGAACATTCAGTATATAAATGACTATACAATAAGTGTTCCGAAAATACTTGATAACTGTTGACTTTGATAAAAGTTTAGTAAAATATTTGGGTGAGAAGGAAATAAGGAAACATATACACATATGTATATATATATAGTGTGGATATACACATAGATAATATAAATACCTATTTATACATTTAGATGTATAAGTATATTTATATAAATATAAGAATATTTGTATATAAATACATTTATATAATATGTAGTACACATAGGTATAATATATATACTTGGATATTAATATTATATATAATCTTATTTTATATATAGTCTGATCGAGAGTGACATTTAAAGTATTTAAGATCTGGTACAGATGGGTAATGATCAATTAGCAATGTGTACAGACCTAACATCACTGGACACTGAGCAATCCAAAGAGATGCTGGTCATAAACAGTGGCCATAACTGAGCTTCCATTAAATGTCAGCCATGCTATAACATTACTTCTTCAAAGGTAGGGTGTCCCATCTCAATATTATATAAAGTCAGTAAACCCTTTGTTTCTCTTATTTAAATTTTACCATTTAAAAGAATGCAATACACACTAAAAAAATATTCAGCAAATCAAAACAAAATAATCAAGTGAAAAGAAATGCCCTGTATTGGTAGAATCAATCTGTTTTTCTTTTTTAATTAAATAAATTTTTTCTCTCATCTCACTTCCTCATCGCTGGTTTTGTTTTATAAGGTATATCAAATGAACCAAACAAACACAAAAACACAAAACTCAATAATATATACTACGTTCTTTCTTCCTAATCTTCAGATTGATGGACCACACCTATAGGAGGCTGTGCCTAGGGTCACATGACATGGTGTTTTCAGTAGCACTCTGGTATCATTGTAGGAAGGTAAAAATTGCTTTAGACAGGAATTGATTAAATGACATGATGGAATATTTAGACTTGCCACCAGAACATGATAAAATCCTATAAGAGGAGTAATAAAAGAAACATGTATCATAAAATAGTAATGACAAACACAAAAGTTCATCAGTGAAATATGATCTGAAATAATTATCTTTTTAAAAATCAATCCTCAAATTGCAAACTAATAGGGTTGTTATATGAGAAAAAAATAATGCTACCCATTTATTGTCTTTGAACTGACTCTTCAAAACTCTGAAAAAGAAACTATCCTATGAAAAACTCTTAAAAAATGTTGTATTCTGATGAGATGATACCTACTACTATCTTCATGAGTGGCATAAATTAAATAACAAAATGAGATGATCTTTTTTCCCCATTTTACCAAAAGAAAAACCCATAGAAATTAGTATTGAAATTTGCAATAATGTAGTGTTCAGAGATCTAGAGCTAAACTGCTCTAAACTTAATTTAGAACTGTAATTTTGGATAACAATTTAGATTGTAATATTTTTCATTCTAAAGTATAAGTAAGTGGCAAAATAGCACACACATCCCAAGTGTAAGGATGTTCAATTATTACTTTGATTTGAATTACATAATTGTGGAGAACAAAGAGCAATTTTTAATACATCAATTTGCTTCAATTTTTCATACATCAATTTGATATAAAAAATTTATTCTCCACTGCAAGTTACCGAAGACACATGATTCCATTAATCATGTGCCATTAGAACTTATTAGGATTTACATTTTTAGAATTAATAAGTATTAGTAGTATAAATAAGTACTACTAAAATTAGTACTTATAATGGTAATAAAAGAACAATAATAGCTAACACTTAACATACATATTACCGTTACCATTTCTGCTATAAATATTACTACTTTTTTTTTTGAGACGGAGTCTTGCTCCGTCTCAAAATATACAAATATAAAAATATACAAATATTCTTATATTTACGTAAATATACATCTAAATGTATAAATAGGTATTTATACTATATATGTGTATATTCACACACTATATATATATATGTGTGTGTGTGTGTGTGTGTGTGTGTGTGTGTGTGTGTGTCCTTATTTCCTTCTCACCCAAATATTTTTTATCAAAGTCATCAGTTATCAAAACCAGGCCGGAGTGTAGTGGCACGAACTCACCGCAAGCTCCGCCTCCCAGTTTCACGCCATTCTCCTGTCTCAGCCTCCGGAGTAGCTGGGACTACAGGCGCCTGCCACCACGCCCGGCTAATTTTTGTATTTTTAGTAGAGACGGGGTTTCACCGATTAGCCAGGATGATCTCGATATCCTGACCTCGTGATCCGCGCGCCTTGGCCTCCCAAAGTGCTGGGATTACAGGCGTGAGCCACCGCGCCCGGCCCAATATTACTAAAAAGGAGCAAGCCAAACTATCCCAGGATACCAACAGAAGACTCATGGACATAAGACTGAGTAGACAAGAGAAAAATCCGTTATTAATTTGAGATTACTTTAAAACTTTCTCATTACAAAAATATTTTTATATCATTTACTGATTTTCCCATTAAATAGTACAGATTTTAAAAAGATTGAAATTCACTTACTTTACTATTATCTAATAATTGTTTTAATAATATACTTTGTTAGGCTGCTGAGTTATATTCTGACCATGTGCACATAATTTTTCTAATGTTATTAGTTATACATATATTCTTTTTTAAAATTGAAAAGAATTTTATCTCTGACACTAGTGAACTTTAAAATGAAGACACAATAAGCTAATTTATGTTAAATAGATAGTAACAAATAATCCATTATAAGGTGAATCACATTTTAGTCGTTGAAGGCACTGATCTGGAATAGCATCTATTTTCATTTAATAACTCTGATGTTTCTGGTGGAACTGAGCACTAGAATTTTAGTTAGGTTTATTTTTAGAATAAGTACTAATAAAATTCGTATTAGTAGTATTAGTAAGTACTAATAAAATTAAGTATAATGTTAACTGCAGGTTTTGCATAAATGCTCTTACAAGTTTGCAGAAGCTTACATCTATTCCAATTTTACTGAGAATATTTTTATTAAAAATGGTTTTTGGATTTTACCAAGTACTTTTCATGAATCAATTGAGATTATCATATAGTTTTTATTTTTATTTTTCTATGTGTTTTATAATGTCCTTTTCTGATTTTGGTATCAGGGCAATGCTGGCATCATAGAATGAACTGGGAAATAATTCTTTCCTCTTTAATATTCTGGTATATCTTGTGTAGAATTGGTATTATATCTTCCTTAATTGGCTGGTAGAATTCACCACTGAAGACATTTGGCATGGAGTTTGTTTGCGGAAGGCTTCTTAGTACAAAATATAATTCTTTGGTAAAGGGATGTCAGACTATTTCTTCTTAAATAAACTTTGATAGTTCAAATATTTTTTAAACATTTTCTATTTCATATAATCTGTAGAAGGTACTGACATAAAGCTGCTCATAATTTTACTTGCTTTTCTTTTTATATCTGCTAAATCCATGGTAATGTCATCTTTCTCATTCTTGATATTGAGAATTTATTTTTCTCTTTTTTTTCTTGATTAATCTAGCTGCAGGTTTATCAATTTTGTTGATTTTCTCCAAGAACAAGAATTTTTATTCATCATTATTTTTGTTTTGTATTTTATTTATGTTCAATCTGATCTTTATTATTTCTTTTCTTTTCTTTATTTTATACTTAATTTGGTCTTCTTTTCCTAATTTTAAGGTGGAAGTTGAGGTCATCGATTTTACATTTCTTCTTACATAAAGTATATGTTTAATGCTATGAAGTTCCACCTAAATTTGATTTAGTGGCATTTATTGTATTCTGATATGTTATATGTTCATATTCATTCAGTTAAAAATAATGCCTATAGTCCTTTTCTTCTTAAACTTATGGATTATTTAGAAGTGTACTATTTAATTGCCAAATATTTGGGAATTTTTCCAGAGGTATTATTTTTCCAGAGGTATTATTTTCCAGAGGTAACATATTTATTTGCTTATTGATTCCTAATTTATGTGGTCAGACAATATCCTTTTAACACTTCCATCCTTATTAATTTATTGATAGCTGTTTTATCACCCAGAATGTGGTATACTAAATGTTCTATGTGCACTTGAGAAAAGAATGTATATTCTGCTATTGTTTGGAGTGTGGGGTATTGTCTATAAATGTCAATTAACTCAGTTTGGTTGAAAATATTGTTCAACTCTTCTCTATCCTTAATGATTGTCTACATGATCTATAATTTACTGATGGAGGGCATTTCTCAGCTATAACTGTGGATATGTCTATTTATTAATGCACTTTTGACAGTTTTTGCTTCATGTACTTTGTGGCTGTCTTTATGTGCGTAAACTTTATAATTTTTATATTTTATTTATCAACTGACCCCTTAACATTTAAAAGACCACCTTTAACCTTGATACTATTCTTTTATCTGAAATCTAAGTTATCTGATATAAATATGGTCACCCCAGCTTCCTGTTGATTGGTGTTATCAAATCTTTTCCCATGTTTTCACTTTTAACTATTTGTTAAATTTCAAGTGTGCATCTCAGAGGCTTAAAACAGAACTTGATCCGGCTATCCCATTACTGGATATACACCCAAAATAATACAAACCGTTGTATCATAAAGACAAATGCATGCATATGTGCATTGCAGCACTATTCACAATAGCAAACACATGGAATCAACCTAAATGTTCATCAATGTTAGACTGTATAAAGAAACTATGGTACATATAAACCATGAAATATTATGCACCCATGGAAAAGAATGAGATCGTGTCCTTTTCAGGAAAATGGATGGAGCTGGAGGCCATTATCCTTAGCAAAACGACAAGAACAGAAATCCAAATACCGCCTATTCCCACTTATTATTAAATCCAAATACCACATATTCCCACTTAGTGGGAGCTAAATGATGAGAACACATGGACACATACAGGAGAACAAAAGACATTGGGGTCTAAAAGAGGATGGAGGGTGGGAGGAGGGAGAGATTCAGAAAAAATAATGAATGGGTAATAGGCTTAATAGCTGGGTGACAAAACAATATGTACAACAAATTCCCATGACACAGGTTTACCTATATAACAAACCTGCACATGTACCCTTGGACTTAAAAGTTAAAAAAATAAAAATAAAAATGTGTGTTTCTTGCAGTATCATACAGTTGGGTCTTGTGTGTGTTTTTATCCATTCTGACAGTCCTCTTTTTACACTTGTAAGTTCTTCTGATCATTTTACATATATAAGTTCTTTTGGCCATACTGTCAGAGTCTATGTCCTGGTGACATAGTAGAATCTCATTTCTGGAAGGTAATGAAACCCAGGGACCAAGGTTTATGTTATCTAGTTATTCTTAATTATATTCTTAAGATAAAATGTGTCACTCTATTTTGCCCAGGAAAATCAAAGATCTTTTGATACCCTTTTGAAATTTGGATTTCTGAATAACATGATATAAATATTAAAGGATAATCTTTCACTTTTGCAAACTAATTCTTTAAAAGGACAAATTGCCTCACACATTTTTCTACTGACTTTAGAGACTAATTAATTGTAAGAAAATTTGATGTCTTTTTTCAAAATTTAAAGAGACTACGGGTAAATATGCTTTGTGAAAAAAGGTTTTTTGTGTATATATATATATATACACACTATATACATATACACTGTACATATATACACACACTATATATATTATATATACACACACTATATATATATACACACACACAAACACTATATATATATATATATTCTGTAGGGGAGAACAAAGTTTTCCAAATGCTAGATCAAGTATTAGGAAAGCTCTTGATAATTGTTAGGATTTAACATTGAAAGTAGATTATCCCTCGGGGTTGGAAAACAAATTTTTCCTTATTAAGTAAACATGTTTAATTAAAAGTAAAAAAATGTTTCCTTATGAATTAAAAATGTTTAAATAAAGAAGTAAAAATGTTAAAAGTAAAAATGTTTAATGTTATGAAGTAAAAATGTAATTTATGAAGTAAAAATGTTTAGCCAATTGCATTGGGAATTTATCATATCATGAAGCATCCTGAGGTTTCCCAAAGGCTGTAGACCTGTATGAGTTAACCAACCTGTCTGTGTATCAAAATGGTAAAACTGGAGAGTGTGTTTTCTGTGTTTCAATTTCTCAGTAACCACAGGTTAACATACTGTATTGGCCATCTTACTAGGTGAAGAAATTCTGGGCAAATTATTTGTGTACTATATCCTAAAAAGACAACTAAGTTTATAATGACAATTGAGATAATTGTTTATATGTTGCTTAATTTTTATTTCCAACTTTTCATTAGAATTCTTTTCTATTGTTAATTTCATCCTGATGAAATTCATGAGCTCCCTCTTTGGGCTATTATCTCAGTTTTTAGTTTCAAACTTACCATAAAAAACATTCAAAGACCAATAGAATTTCAACTTCAAGAAATTTCTGAATTCTCATTTCATCAATGTAATCATCCCATATCATGTGCGTAGTATATATTTTTCTCTTACGAGTTAATATTTTGTTTATTGCAATAGTGAAATTCCTTAATTTTTGTTGTTTTCCTGTTAATTTGCCGTGTCACAAAGCAGTAAAAACATGTTAAGAGCTCTCAGGAAACTGGCAGCAGCTTTCAAATTGAAGTAGCAAGAAGCTATCATCTTCAAAATTAAGATAAAGGAAAGACATTAAACTTTTAAAAGCTTGAACAAAAGGGCAGGCTTGTATGACCTTGGAAATATTGAAGGATGTTTAGCTTAGAACGTGAAAAAGAAAAAACGCAATACCTTAAAAAACAAGTGTTTTAATCTCATCAAAACCTAGGAGGTCAAAGTAAGATTAAGATAATTTACTTCTAAAATTATATACTAATCCATATGTAAGAATGTTCCATAAAAACAGCTTATTAAAATGTGTGTCAGATTTTTAAACAATATTAATTTACCAAGGAGATCTGTCTACCTCAAGAAACAACCTGAGTATGTGCTTATATATCTTTGTGATTCATTACAAAATAACAAGGCCAGATGCTGGGCACTTACAGTAGGTTCCATGGTCAAATGGACTTCATTAATGTTGGTTTTCAGCATAGATATTCTCTAAAGCATTGTAATTCATCATACAGACAATTTTGCTTTCTAGCCCTCATTTTTCATACTAAATTAACATTTTCTCTTTTCTAGTTTCTTGTTTAGCTAAGAGAAAATAACCCCAAACAATAATTTATGTGGAAAGAAATATTTTTATTAAAAATAATTTTGTGACTATTGTTTTTTAAATGCCTAAATGAGTAATATCCAATGTTCTTAGAGATTAAAGATAAACTGTATTTAATGTAATACATTAATTACTAATATAAAAAACAAAAACATAAAAGAAAACAAATTCATGGTTTTCATAACACTTTGCATCATCATGTGAACTAAATTTTCAGTCAGCAAATTATATGTAATATGAAAGAATTTAGAGTAAGACTGTAACCATACATTTGAGAATATTTACAGAATCATTATTCCTAAAATTACTTAGATATGCGCAAATAATTTACTATGTAAAGTATAAATATTGCTAAAAAAACAAAGCAAGAGGCTTTTTTCACCTAATAATACATATTATTTAAAACTATACCATTTTTTAAACATCTATGTAGTTATTTGCATCATCATGGAATTATATCATTGTTTTCTAAGATTTTTGACCAAGAGTCTCTACCAAAATAATTTGTTAAACATTCAATCCCAATATAAAAAAAAGTTAAATATGTATACAATAGGAGTTAATATATTATTATAAGATATCTTAATATCTTTCTCATAAAAATTACCAATAGAATTTATAATAGTTTTTCTTCTCCACTCATTCATCATCTTGGATAAATCTAAGGCCTGTATACCTAACTGAATATTACTGTAATAACTAAGTAATGATTTGTGACTGTAATATTCAAAATAATTAAATCGAAATTTAGAGATAAAAAGAATGAGAATGATAAAATGAATATGATTTAATCATTTATTCACACTATTTTTAAAACATTCACCTGGAAAACATGCATTTCAAAATTTTTTTGTAACATTATTTTCCATTCTATTGTCAGGCATGTGCATAGTAACTGAAGCACACACTACAAAATTTTCTTTAAACATATATATTTTTGAAAACCATAAATTACTAAAGTTTTGTCATATCTCACCCTATTTAAAGTGATAAATTTTAAATTAAAATAATTCACCATGGATACATTTGAAAGCAAAATATTGTGATAGTAATTTATGAAAATAAAATAATTTTATTGACTTATCAAACTTTCTAAAAGAGATCATTAATCTTTTATGGTGTTATTACAAACAAAATAATTTTGTTTAGTTATCTAAATTCTCTTTATCATTGTCTTGAATTGTTTGTCAAGGAATCTAATTTATCTGGGCTCTAAAAAATTGCCGCTTTGACCTTTTATTTTTTCATCATTCTATTTCATTGTAATCTGTAATTTAATGAAAATGCTGTCTCTATTATAGCATTACAGGATTTCTTGTAACAGTAACCTATTAAAGTATATTAAAAGTATTTATCATGGTCCTCATGAGTAACAATAATACAACAAATAGAAATCTGGGATATACAATCAGTACAAATAATTTAGAAGAATCTGCCTCCATTTATCAACATATAAAACAGTCAAAACAATAACCATTAAACTGAAGAGTAAAATTAAAACTTATTTTTATAAAAATCAATAAAGTATTGAAATTACTAAATATGTCTATATCTAGAAATCAGGAAAAATCACTCTAATGAATAGCAAATTTCTTTAAATTTGCCAATATTCTCAAATTAGTATACTTAATGAAACTGAAATTTAATTTTGACAGATTTTTATCCTTTTCCAGCCAAAGAGACAGTCTGAATTTGGCATATTTTTGTAAAAATATTATGTTAATGGCGATTTACATTGTATTGTCTTAGAACATAAATTTTCAATTTTTCATGTTTCCTTCATCACTATTTTTTCAAAATTTATACCGTCACTTCCTTACTACATTCTTTTTCCTAATTTTTTAATGAGAAAAACTTTAAAGATATTGGTGTCTTTCTACCTCTGAAAGAAATATCTTATTTTTTTAAATTAGAATATACACTATTAACTTATTTTCATATAAAAATATTCTTCTACATATGTACATTTTAAAAAAGTGTATCTCTATTTCAGTATGTATTTATAAAGGATAAATTTTTTTTAAATAATACAAGACCTCAATACCATTATCACACATAATAATTTACAATAATCCTTTTGCTTCAACAAATAACAAGTTTGTATTGATTTTTCCAATTTTTTTTAATACTTTTTTTGGTAGTATCAGGGTTGAAATTTGGTGCACGCACTGTGGTTGGTTTATAAGTTTCTTAAGACTCTTAACTTTTATGTTGGTCCTCAATATCATTTATTTTCTCGCATATCTTTTCCTCGTAGAAGACACCCAGACATTTTTTCCTGTGGTGTCATGACAGTCCAGCTTTTGCTTATTATTTCACTGTTGCATTGTTAACATATTCCTTCTCCTTTAGACATAAACTTTAATTACATCTAAAGGCTCGATTAAATTCAGATTCAACTTTTTAAAAAGTATTTCTCATAAGTGACATTGTATGTTTCTCTCATAGAATGAAAAATATTTGTTTCAATTCAATGAATTTATTAATTCATTTAAATGGATTATTATTAGTATTCAAATTATTGATATTCAAATTGCCCAGTCTTTTTTAACAGAAGGAGTTACTTCAAGTTGGTTCCTGAGAACTATAGGTTTAATTCTATTCTTAACTTCTATTATGATGAGGTATTTCAAGCTGTAAGTGTCCATTTACTTACTTATATTAATATTTATACTTCTCTTTTCTTATATAAATGACAGAATTCTATAACACTTTCCCCACTTGGCAATATGCAATGGAAGTGACTCAGTAAGCCTATTACACCTGATCTCTGTAGTGAATTGCTCATAAAAAAACCGTGAGAACAGTATACAATATTCCCTTAGTTCTTGCAGGTTACTGATCATATAAGGATTTTCTTTTCTTTCTTTCCTTCTTTAACTAATTAATTATTTTATTTTATTTATTATTATTATTATTATTATTTTTTTTTTTGGAGAAAAGGTCTCATTCTGTTGTCGAGGCTGGATGGCAGAGGCACAATAATGGCACACATTAGCCTCAACCTCCCAGGCTCAAGCAGTCCTCCTACCTCAGCCTCGCAAGTAACTGGGATCACAGGCATGCACCACTGTGCTTGGTTAACTTTTTTTTTTCAGAGCTCAGATCTCATTATGATTATGTTGCCCCAGCTGGTCTTGAAATCCACCTGCCTCAGCCTTTTAAATTATTGGGATTAAGGTGTGAGCCCCCAAGCCCAGTGCTTTTCTGCATAAAAGTTAGTATGATTGAATAAAAAGTTACTGGTTCACATTATCTTTTCTTAAGCATATTTTAAAAGTTATGTGCCTAACTCTGGCAAAAGCCATTGGTGAGGTAGCCCGATTTTGCCTGCATGCATACATCCTCTTTTTTCAGCCTAATTTTTTTTATTAGTGTGTCTAATACTTTTTGGCCAGTATAGCTAGATACATGGTGAATACTTTGGATGTAGTTTCAAGTTTTGAATTTTGTCCAGGAAAATTTTATTCCAATTATGGTTTTTAATTCTTATTTCCTTTTTTTTTTTCATTTCGAGAACTCTTATTGTACATGTGGAGAATGTCTTTGCTTTATTTTAGATTCATCTCTGGAACTTAAGAAATAACTGTTCACTTTAGAAATAAGCAGCCCACTAACTACCTTTGTTTCGACTGTAGTTTGAAGGAAGTGAGGGAATAAAGCTGGATTGTAGTGGTCTTTGTGGGGAGAGTGTGTTGACAAACATTATCATTATAAAATTCATAAAACCATAGCAAAAAATGTAACCTTTATTTTCTTAGTGCCAACTGCATTTAATATTTAAAAATTAAGTAATCAGGAAAATATAAAGACAAATATGTAGGACTGTGATATAGTAAGAAATATATATTTGATCTTCTTCCCTGTCCCTGGTTTCTAGCATGGAGCTCTTAGAAACCTCAGAATTTTTTAAGTGGTAAAAGCAATAAAGGTGAAAGGAATATCTTTTGTTATTCATAACACATCCCATCTCTTTTCTTCACACCTGAGTTTATGTTAATGAGGTGACTTTTGGAAAGCCCCTAAGGATGAGGGGCTGATTGCCAGGGTAATTTATCATGTGATTAGAGGGTTGGCTTTTCCAGCCTTACTCCCCTAACCTCCTAGGAGTGGGAGGGGCAAGGGTTTAAAGAATGACTTAATCATACCTTGTCAATGATTTAATAACATGCTTATGAAATGCAGCCGCCATAATAACCCAAAAGGACAAAGTTTGGAGAGCATTCATGTTGTTGAACACATAGAGGTGGTGGGAGGGTGCCGTGCCTAGAGAGGGCATGGAAGTTCTATGCCTTTTCCCCATAACTTGCCCTATGCATTTCTTCCATCTTGCTGTTCCTGAGATTTACCCTTTTATAACAAACCAATAATCTAGTTAAGTAAATTGTTTTCCTGAGTTCTGTGAGCCAGTCTAGCAAATTAACAAACCCGAGGAAGTCGTTGTAGGAATCTCCAGTTTGTAGCTAAGTCAGTCACAAATTGTAGGTAACACAGGGACTTACCACTTCTGACTAGCCTCTGAAGTGAGGGGGGCACTTCTGTGGGATTGAGCCCTTAACCTGTGAGATCTGTACTAACTTCAGGCAGTTAGTATCAGAATTGAGTTGAATTGTAGGACATCCTGCCAGTGTCAGAGAATCAGCTGGTACTGGGAAAAAACTCCACACATCTGCAGTCAGAAATGAAGTCTTGAGAATAGTAGCAGAGTATAGAAGAAATGGGAGTTTTTTTCTTTTAAAATGCAATGTATATTTTATTTGTAAAAACACTATAGAAAACTATAGATTTCATAAAATATTGAGCTTAGCAGGATAAAATCTGGATAAGACTTAAGATTCCTATTAATTCTTTTTGTTCAGTGTGTTTTGATGAAAATACTTGAGAACTCAATATATTAAAACGTCATCTGTATGTATTTTGGCAGATTTAATCCTGTGTTGATCGTCTGGTTAACCTGAAAATGAGCTACTTGTTTCATATGGATTTTTGTGCTTATACATGGTAAATGTAATATTCTTATGGCCAGTATATAATTAGATATGAACCATGAAATCTATATTTACTCTAAAGACACTGGTTTCCACATATACTTACATTCTCCATATATCTTTAGAAAAACTTTACAGTCTTGTGTTTTTTAAATCATATTTGGTTTTTATACAAGAACATGTTTGTTTGCATGTGGATATGTGTGTGAACTATCACAACTAGCAAAACTCATTGGCAATTTGTTTTCTTAAAGACATTAGCAAATAACCTGATTAAATAAAGTTATGCTCAACTTTCAACTAGTCAATTTCAGAGAAAGTGAAAATTTACTTGTCGACACATGTGAGAATTCACAGGACCTCTTTGTCTTAGTGTATGAAAAACATGTCTTCAAAATAACTAAAATTAAGAAGTGATAATTTTTTTTCTTCTGCCTTGAAGTAACTTTCTCCATTGTACAACTAGAATTCAGTTCAATTATTCAGGGAAACAATAACAATAGTAATATGTTTATGAGCACATGTATCTGGCAAATTACATTCTTCAAACCAAGTTAGAAAAGACTTGGAAAAGTTAACTGTAGTTATGAATTACATTATAATTTACCTAAGTATGGGTAATGGTATTTATATTTTAAATTTTTATATAACAATTATCTAAACATAATTTTTAATAGCATATACTTTAACAATGTTAAATTAACAAAAATTCATGGCAAAATGTTAGTAACAGTTGCAAGAAAACATTAGGAATACAGTAACAAAATTTATTTTTCAACATTAATAGGACATGTACTGCTTGACATTTGGATGGGGACTTTTTTTTTAACATGAATTATGTATAGTTGAACAAAACCTTCAAACAGCTTTTAAGATATGCTCAATTTATCTAACATTCTTCTTATGAAACTGTTTCATAAAAAGTATCAAATATTTTCTAACAGAATAAGCTAAATCTAGCATATATTATAATGTGCAAGATATTTATGAATAAGTAACATTATCAGGAAACATAGCTAGGTTTACGAATTCATTTTTAATTCCTGTGCAATAGGCCACGGAGACAAACATTCTCCAGATTAATAATCCAAGCATATTTATTCTCCATTACGTAAAATAGCTGAGTGATTCATCTGCATTCAGTACCAGAAATACAGCACAAAGGAGAAACAGATCAGAAATATAAGCTTCAAAGATAAAAAAACAGAAAGGAGTGCAGCATGTTAGAAGACCTGTAGATTTTCATAATAAATCCATCTCCAAGATTTCTGCAAGTGAAGCACTTATATAAGACATTCAATGGATGGATTTTAATGCCATAGATAAAATTCTATTAATATTATATATAGATATTGCATTTTTGTTTACATTAAGTGAATGTGCACATGTAGATATAAGCTCCTTTACTAAGAAATAAAATTCTAAGTGAGAAAAAAACAGATACTATCATCTGAAATAAGCCCTTGATTTTCTATTAGAGGAAAAGACCATTTAGAGTTCCAACAAAAGACATGCACTGAACTTAATGACTAAAATTTAATTTTACAGTACAGTAGAAAATGTAAGCGAAAGCAGAACTTTTCTGGAACAGCCACAAGAGATTCACCAATAAAATGTCAGAGATGAGAAATAGGAAATCTGCTTTAACATCAGATGTGAGGGAGGAGATGAAGATTTCTAATATCACCACTCTGGTGTACTAGTAATAAGACAAGAATCTTGCAGCATCTGTTCAAAGTCTGATATAATTCTTTGGTGAGTACTCCCTTAGAACAATATAATTTTCTAAAGTATCAGCCCTAGAGGGTGCAATTCTTCAGAGAAGGTTAAATTTTCCTCTTGGTTATAGAGTTTGAAAATGCCACAGCTAATTACATGAAAATATTAGACATTTCATGAATCAATTTGGTAAAACTGTCTAAATTGATGCAGATGGCTTCATTTTTCTAATAAATCTAGTCTCTCTTACTAGGGAATGAGAATCAAGTTAATTTCTGAATATTGGTACCTTCATTTAGGGTACTCCTGAAAAAAAATATTTTCCAAATCTTAATTTAGAAATGATTATTTGCAGAATGAAAAATGAATAATTAAGAAGAGTCTTTCCTAGAACTAATAGATGTTACTAACGTCAAGTAAACCAAACCAAAAATCAGAGTAAATATTTAGCCGAAACATTAGTACTTTCTAACTTTCTAAAAAATTCATAGTCTTGTGATAAATACATTAAAATAATAAAAAAGATTATATAAATGTCCTTGTGCTTTAACTTTTGATGAATAATTCCCAAATACTCTACTGTGAAAACATATGTCCACACAAAGACATATATAAATCGTCATAGTAGCCTTATTTATAATAGCCCAAATTGGAAACAACCTAAATTACCATCAATAGGAGAATGAGTAAATAAATCGTGGTATAGGCACATGAAGGAGAAATTCTCAGTGACATAAAACAATGAACTACTGACATACACAACAACAGGGATGACCCTCAAAAGCATTATGTTAAGTGAAAAAAGCATAGACAAGTCAATACATGCCTACTTATGCAATACTAGAAAAAGGATAGAAGATAGCAACAGAAAGCAGATTAGAGCTCACCAGGGACCAGGGGTGGAGGGAGGCTCAAATAATTTTTTTTGGCCAGACAGGGACCTGCTGCCTTAAAGGGAAGGTGCCAGTCTTGGCATGATTAATCACCCGCTAACTAAAGAGCCCTTGAGCCCGGAATAACCAGCAATGATACTCAGACACAATGTCAAGAAAATTGGGTAGGATTCTGAGAATTGCTGGTTTCAGGAGAGACTCAGTACATTCCCAGTTGTGGCAGCTATGGGGCAATTCTTCCACTTAAAAAAAGTGCAGTGAAAAGTAAGGTAGAATTTGTCCTGTACCTTAGGTGGGCCACAGTGAAATACAGCACCAAGTGAATTCCTGAGATCCCCAATTCCAGGACTTGAATCTTAACATGGCATTTCTCAACCTTCCCTGGGCCAGAAAACAAAGCCTAAGTGTGAGTCCCAGGCCAGGAAGCATTCACCACAAGCTGAATGAATGCCTTGGGCCTTAAGGAAATATATCAATGGTAGTCTGACAGTACACACCATGAGCCAGTGGTGGCAGTGGCCATGGGTAAGGCTCCTCTGCCTTTGGAAAGTAGGGAGAAGAAATGTGTCTTGTGGGTTGAGTGTCAGCTCAGCCACAGTACAAGAGAACACCAGGTAGACTTATAAGGTTTTTGACTCTAGTGCCAGGCTACCAGTTGATACTTCTGCACCCACTTGGGGCCTGGGGGTCATCACCACCCAGAAGGGAAGGACACAGACCTGGTGAGCTTTGCCACCTGCTGATTGTAGAACCCCAGAGCCTTGAACAAACATAGGCAGTAGCCAAAAAGTGGTTATAGAAGGCCATAGGCAAGATCTAGCACCTTGCTGGCTTCAGGTTTGACCCAAAATAGTCATAGTGGTGGTAGCCACAGGGGTGCTTGTGTTACTCCAACCCCAGCTTTAGGTGGCTTAGAAGAGAGACAGAGATTCTGCATGTTTGGGAGAAAGTAAAGGAAGAGAACATAAGTCTCTGCCAGTTAATCCAGAGAATTCTCCTGGATCCGGTCCAAGACCATTGTGATGGTTAATACTGAGTGTCAACTTGATTGGATTGAAGGATAAAAAGTATTAATCTTCTAGGTGTGACTGTTAGGGTGCTGCCAAAGGAGATTAACATTTGAGTCAGTGGGGGGAAAGGCAGACACACCGTTAATCTGGGTAGGCACAATCTAATCAGCTGCCAGCGCAGCTAGACTATAAGCAGGCAGAAAAATTTGAAAAGAGAGATTGGCCTAGTCTCCTAGACTGTATCCTTCTCCCATGCTGGATGCTTCCTGCCCTCGTACATTGGACTTGAAGTTCTTCAGTTTCAGAACTCGGACTGGCTCTCCTTGCTCCTCAGCCTGCTGATGGCCTATTGTGGGACCTTGTGATCGTGTGAGTTAATACTTAATAAACTCCCATATATATTCATATATATACATATATATTATATATATGTATATACATTTCATTAATTCTGTTCATCAAGAGAACCCTGACAAATAAAACCGTCAAGATGGTACCTCTATGAGTCTGCAAGAACCACAGTATTACAGGGCTTGGGGTACCCACAAAAGCAGAAACAACTTATATCACAAAATCCAAGTCTTTTCAAATATCTGGAAAGCATTCTCAAGAAGGACAGGTACAAACCAACCCATATAGTTAAGACTATAATATATACCTAACTCTTCAATGCCCAGACACCAAAGAATATCTACTATCATTAACACCATCTAGGAAATGTGACCTCACCAAATGAACTAAATAAGGAACCAAAGATCAATCCTGGAGAAACAGAGATATGTGACCTTTCAGACAGAGAATTCAAAATAGCAGTGTTGAGGAAACTCAATGAAATTCAAGATAACACAGAAAAGGAATTCAGAATTCTATTAGACTAATTTAACAAGAGATTGAAATAATGAAAATGAATCAAGCAGAATTCTGGAGTTGAAAAATGTAACTGGCATACTAAAGAATACGTCAGTCTTCTAATAGCAAAATAGATCAAGCAGAAGAAATAATTAGTGAGCTTGAGCACAGGTTATTTGAAAATACCCAAACAGAGGAGACAAAAGAAAAGAGAATAAAAACAAACAACCACAACCGTAGGTTCTAGAAAATATCTTCAAAAAGGCAAAATGTTATTGGTCTTAAGAGGAGGTAGAGAAAGCGATAAGGGTATAGTTTATTCAAAAGCATTATAACAGAGAATTTTCCAAACCTAGAGAAAGATATCAATACTAAAGTACAAGAAGTTTATATAACACCAAACAGATTTAACCAAAAGAAGACTACCTGAAGGCATTTAATAATTAAACTCCCAAAGATCAAGAATAAAGTAAAGCTACTAAAGCAGCAAGATAAAAGAAACAAATAACATACAATGGAGCTCAAATACATCCGGCAGCAGACTTTTCAGTGGGAATCATACAGGCCAGAAGAGACTAGCTTAACATATTTGAAGTGCTGAAGAGAAAACACTTTTACCCTATAATAGTATATCTGGATATATATATCCAGATATATATATATTTGGACATTTATATATGCAATATATATATGGCATATAGATATTATATATGCCATATATATATATGCAAACATGAAGGAGAAATAACAACTTTCCAACACAAACAAAAGGAAGGCTGAGGCAGGAGAACTGCTTGAACCCATCATCAAGAGAGCAGAAATAATTTAAATTGAAATGAAGAAAATTATATGAAATATCCATGAAATAAGAAGTTGGTTTTTTGAAAAGTTAAAAAAATTGACAAACCTTTAGCCAGAATAATTAAGGAAATATATACATTTATATATTTAGAAAGAGAGAGAGAGAGAGAAGGTCCAAATAAATAAAATCAGAGATGAAAAAGGAGACATTACAACTGATACCACAGAAATTCAAAGGATCATTTGTGGCTATTAAGAGCAACTATATGCCAATATATTGGAAAATCTAGAAGAAATGAACAAATTCCTAGACACAAATAACCTACCAACAATGAACCAGGAAGAAATCCCAAACCTAAAAAGACCAACAACAAGTAATGAGATCAAAGCCATAATAAAAAGTCTCTCCATAAAAATTAAATAAATAAAAAAGACCAGAACCCGATGGCTTTTACTGCTGAATTCTGCCAAACACTTAAAGAACTAGCAGCAATCCTATTGAAAGTATTCCAACAAACAGAGGAGAAACGAATACTAACAGACTCATTCTATAAGCCCAGTACCCTGATACCAAAACCAAAGATGCACCAAAAGAAGAAAACCACAGGATAATATCTCTGATGAATATTGACACAAAAATCCTCAACAAAATACTAGCAAACCAAATTCAACAACACATTAAAAAGATCATTCATCATGCAAGGATGGTTCAACACATGCAAATCAATCAACATGATACATCAGTTCAACAGAATGAAGGACAAAAACCATATAATCATTTCATTTGATGCTGAAAATGCATTTGATAATATTCAACATTCCTTCATGATAAAAACACTCAAAAATTGTGTATAGAAGAAACATATCTCAACATAATATAAGCCATGACAGACCCATGGCTAGTATCATTCTGAACAGAAAAAAAAAAAAAAAAAAAAAAACCTTTCTCCTCAAATCAGGAAGATGACAAGAATGCCCACTTTCACCATTGTTACTGAACATAGTACTGCAGGAAAAAAAATCTAATAATCTGATTAAAAATGTCCAAAAGATCAGAATATGTATTTCTGAAAAGAACATATGTAAGTAGCAAACGAATATATGAAAAGGTGTCCACATCATTGATCATCAGAGTAATGCAAATTAAAACTACAATGAGATATCATCTGACCCCAATTAAAATGGCTTATATTCAGTAGTTGGGCAATAATTAATAAATAATAGCAAGGATGTGGAGAAAAGGGAAGCTTTGTACACCTTTGGTAGAAATGTACATTAGTACAACCATTATGTATAACAGTTTGGAGGTTCTTCAAACAAGTAAAAATAGAGCTACTACATGATTCAGCAATCCCACTGCTGGGTACATACCCTAACAAAAAGGAATCAGTATATCAAAGACATATCTGCACTTCTATGTTAGATACAGCATGGCTCACAATAGCCAAGAATTCCAAGCAACCTATGTGTCCACCACCAGAGGAATGGATAAAGAAAATGTGGTACTTATACACAATGGAGTACTATTCAGCCACAAAAAAATGAATGAGATTCTGTCACTTGTAACAACATGGATGGAAATTGAGGTGATTATGCCGAGTGAAATAAGCCAGTATAGAAAGACAAATATTGTATGTTGTCACTTATTTGTGGGGTCTGAAAATGAAAACAACTGAACTCATGGAGACAGAAAGTAGAATGATGGTCATCAGAAGCTGGGAAGGGGTTAGTGGCTGTGGGGAAAGGTAGGCATGGTTAATGGGTACAAAGCAAATAGAAAGAATGAATAAGACCTAGTATTTGATAGCACAACAGGGTGAATATAGTCAATAATAAACTAATTGTACATTTAAACATAACTAAAAGAGTATTATTGGATTGTTTGTAATACAAAGGATAAATGCCTTAGGCGATGGATACCCCATTTTACATGATGTGATTATTACACATTGCATCCCTGTATCAAAACATCTTATGTACCCCATAAATATATACACCTATGTGCCCAGAACAATTAAAGTAAAAACATTTCTAAAAATGTAACAGCGTGGCTCTGGTCATTTTAATAAAACTAATGGTCAAACAGGGAACATCTGCACTAAGGTGGCACTTTTGGTTTACAACTTAATAATTTATAGCAATGTGACAAAAATTCTTCATTAGATGTGCAGTTAAATATACTTTGATCAATTTTCTAACCTACAAAACTATACAGGGAAACTCTCTCCTCCTAAAAAGAATATTCCAGGCTCTAGACATGAAGATTTCCCAGAAGAGCCCATGTTGCTCCAAGTCTTCTCCTAAGGGTGGGGCTAGAGTTGCAGAGAAGTGGTGATCTAGTTTCTCTGCTTGTACCTCACTATTTGCAGAGAGCTGTCAAATCAAAGTATGTAAACTGTTGACTTAGGCACCCTGAGTACAGGGTGCACATCATCTGTGGCAAACAGAAGAGAGGACGGATAGCAACATTTTGTAAATAAGTCATATCTAAACCACTCAACTTTATAGAGGCCATATTATAATGAACCAGTCAACTCAATCTTCTATGTCCTATAAGTAATTTTACAATATTTAAAGTAATTTAGAAAGGGAAAAATAGATACAGGGCCTATTTGAGGGTGGAGGGTTGGAGGATGGTGAAGATCAAAAAACTACTTATCGGACACTATGTTCATTACCTGTCTTACAAAATAATCTGTACACCAGACTCCCATAACACACACGATTTACCCATGTAGCAAACCTGCACTTTTATTCTCTAAGCCTAAAATTATAAGAAAAAAAAGTAATTTGGATCCATTTTCTATTTATTTAACTTAGGTTGCAATAGTTAAAGAAACATCAAGAGAAGGCTTGGAAAAGTGTATTTCTTCCAATGTTTTGGTTCCTTGATGTTAATCTACTAGTGAAAGCAAGCTGATTTCATAAAATGACCTTCATGTTTATGTTTTGGGGTATTTCACACCCAATAGTTAAATATGTCCTAGTAATTGCCCAGTAATCTCAAGCAAATTACTGTTTCATGGGCAACAATATATTACAGCTATACAAATGAAATAATTAAACTAGTATCTTTAGGTTTTCTGCCAGCTTTAAGATTGCATAAACTAACTTACTATGAGTATTATGACATAAAAGTACATAGGTTATTCCTCAGACCAGATGAAGGAAACTAACACAACCCCACAGTTATCCTCATAATATTCTGAAACTAAATGTTGCCCAAGTTTAATTCTTATGCCCCAGATTATTATGTTAAAGCTATAGAGTTGCCAACAAAGCATACTCTTGCCTTACTCATATTATAAAATCTTTCTTAAATGATAATAATAATCATCATAATACAAGTTTCTACATAGTTTCTTTAGATTATTAGTATTAAATAAAATGTGGATAAGACTTTGAAACCTAAAATTTATAGAACTGGAATCCTGAAAATATTAACTCAGCAAAGGTAGGATATGTCTGTTTTTTAATGGCTTGCCATCTTATACTGCATCATTTATATTCCTGTATAGGTAGGAGTGACTGTGGTCTTAAAGGACTCGATTTGAGTGAATCTGATATTGACGGTGTTGCTGAGAAAACAAAAATCTCTCACACATTCAAGAAAATAAAAATGAGAGTCATTTGGTGTTTCAAATTCTGAAAAAAAAATATTCTGATAATTATTTAGCTTAAAATTTTTAGGCGAAAAAAAAAGAAAATGAAGACTGGGAAAAAATATTCCATAAGAGTTTAATGATAGAAATAAAATACTGCAAAACACCCAAAAACGAAGAGAAAACAGTAAGCCCACTATTGAGGAACAGGAAGCAGCAAATAGAGGGCATTACAAGCTTAGAAATGTAAACATCACAGCTTCTGGAAATGTTCCAAATTCTTTAAATTAAGGCTCACATTTTGTTTGCCTTTTTTTAAAACCCTATAGTGATGCTAAAATTGTAGATGCTAGCAATTACATACCTATAGCTAAAGGATTCCTTATCTGGAAAAAGGCATATGCAAGAATACTGGCATAACAGATTACTGTCCATCTCAAAACTCTGACCTCAAAAAGCAAAGAAATTTAATGTTAGTATTTTCAAAATTAAAACAAGATGCTAAGTTTGCACAAAAATATGCAAAGAGTAAACTACTTTGCATATAATATTTTAAAAGGAAATCTATTCATAATGGGTGTTAGTGATTTCTAATATTTAGATATTAAGCAAAAATACATAAATGTGTTTCCTTTATTGGCATTTGGTATGCTTGTTTCTATGACTGGCTTAACTGCCACAATGGAACAACTCAGAGGCACTATTCACATGAAATGCCTCGTGATCAGCATCCCCGGAAGTGCATAAAACACTGTCCTGCTGCAAAAAAAATCAAGTGGTCCAATCGTTGTGTTTACATCAAAATATGTAAATTTTTATTTGTATCCCTGGCATTTCATTTTCCTCAGTGTTTTTGACTTCACTCTTGGTGAACCCATACACCCAGAAAACAATTAAAAGTAAACTCTGCGGTGTTGTTATTCATTAGATTGAGAAGCTGCTGATTTTTTTTTTTTCTTTTTTGGTCTTTCTTTGAGCTCCGTTTAGTGTCATTAACTAAAGCCAGAAAACAGTTTTCTACTGTTTAACAATGATTGTGAAGAGCCCAAATAAATTTTCAAGCATTCATGACAACTCTACTCAAGTAAGGAATGATTCAGATATTTATGACTGACAAAAATAGATTACTATTCAACTTTTGAATGACTTGTGAATTTAAAAAACTGGTAAGAAAATAGATCACTGTCAAATAAACATCACTGCAACTAATGAAATTCAGAATCTAAATTACTGCTGATGACGCACTTGAGTTAAGTGCAGAATTTTTCTCGTTAACATTCCCACTCTGGGCCCATTATCCTCTTAATTGTACCTCCAAATTCCCCAAGCTATGCTAGAACAAGTTGTCTAAGTTTCTCTTTAAAAAACATGGCTTATATTGGGGTCATTTCAACTATTAAAATAAACACTTAACAGGATCTTTCTAAAACCATACAAATAATAACAACAACAACCTTTGCATCAAAGATTTTTCTAAGAGATTAAATATCCTTATTATTTTGCTTTTTCAATAACCATTCCCACAGGGTTTGACATTAAAATTACCCATTAATTAATAATGTATTGTATGTTACAACAAGCAAAATAAAGCTATTTAAGTAAATTTTCTTTCTAATATTCAATTATATTAGAACAGTAACTTATTAATGTGGGTCTTGGCTTTGGTTACTGAATTTGTAGGCAAAGCAAAGATAGAATCCAGTATAAAAAAATTAAGCAAATCTTAATATTTTAAAAAGTAAAATATGCAACACAGAACTTGAGAAATTATACATGCTCTAGATTTGTTTGCTATACAACTATGGGTGTTTTATGTGTTGATCGGTGCTTTCTATTAAATAAAATAACATGTACATATCTATATAGATACACAGGCAAACACACACACACACACACACACACACACAAACACACACACCCCTCTAGAAATTATCTGTCTGCATTGATCGCCATTAGAGGACAGCAGAAATATATATATATAGAATTTCATACAATTTTGAATTTCATTCTAAATTCATATATATGTATGTATGGAGAGAGAGATTATCTGCTAAATAATATGTATGTGGTACTAAATATATATTAATAGTATACAAATATATATTTCTAAACTTAATTGCCTTTGGATTCTCTCATTTTTCTCTAATATAACAATCTGGTTAAAATAAATAATGTAATGGGCACATATATTCCCAGTAATCTTGGTCTAGGTATTGCACAGACTGATCTCATATCTAAATTCTTCCTTCAATAAAATGTAAGAAATGACTAATGATGTAACAAGCTCAGTTAATAGTCTCCCCACAAAAATACCATATTGAACATTTTGTTGATCAAGATAAATCTTCAACAATCTAAAATGTTCAAAAGGAGGAACTAAGAAATAAAAACTCTTCCAGTCTTGGTCTGAGGCAGTACTTTCTGTGTAGTGCCATTTACTTTCGCTTTTGGGATCCATCTAGCATCCCTAGTAAAATGCTAGAACACTTGCTTTGTCAAGTTGTAGTAAAATTAAGAAGACTTACAGAGAAACTGGAATCACCTGCCCAATTAACCTTGAGTTTTGTGACATTAAATCAGATATCCAAAGGCAGAAAGACTTTAAACCAGCTTTATGACTAACCTAATGCTTTTTAAACTAGAGCTTTCTATTTTTGATGTCTAGTATCTCATAAAACGTCTCTACCAAGAAGAAATGTTTGAATTGCCTCTCTTGGCAGCCTTTTATTTGACAAGTTTTAAATAAAATGTTGACATGTGCTTCAATTATTTGACGGTGGGAGAGGCAAATTCAAAATAAGTTGTAAATACAATACAATACAATACAGAACAAAACTAAACTAAAAACAAACACCCAACAGACACACGCATGCACGCACACGCACACACACACCCGTCTAGAAATGATCAATCTGCGCTTATCGCCATTAGAAGGCAGCAGAAATGCAAAAAGAGAATTTTACATATAAAGTAGTAATAATGTGTTCCAGTTATTTATTGTTGCATAACTAACCATGATACATTTAGTGGTCTAAAATAATGATTTTAATATTATTATCATATACATGGTTTCTGTGGGTCAGAAATTTAGGTAGTGTACCATGAATACAGCTTGCATCTCTGCTCCAGGATTTTTTGGGCCATAGATAGGAAGACTTGAGTAGCTGATCACTCAAATGGCTAAGGACTGGAATAATTTGGTGAATTCTTTGCTCGCATGTGTAAAGCCTGCACTAAGATGACTCAAAGGCTGGACTAAAGTAGGACTGCCCACTGGCACCTATACATGGCCTTTCGATGTAATTTTGGCTTTCTTCACAGTAAGCAGCATCAGGATTTTCAGAATCCTTTCAAGGCACCTTTAAACTCTAAGACATAGTGTTTCTGCAAATGAGAAAGAAGGTACACAGCTTCTTCCAATGTAGCCCCCAAAATCACGAACCAACACTACTCTGCATTCTATTGGTTACAAGCAAGTCACTGAAACTATCCAGATTCAAGGGGAAGAGAATTGGACCCTATTCATCTCTCTCTAAAATAAATGTCAAATAATTTGCAGCCATTTTTAAAAGTTCCACAGAATGTGAAATTTAAAATATTGTCCAGATATATAACCTGGCCCCTTTCCATATTGGTTATATTGCATTTGTACTTTTACTATAATATTTTTAGGCCAAGCACGGTGGCTCACACTTGTAATCCCAGCACTTTCCGAGGCTGAGGCGGGCAGATCACCTGAGGTCGGGAGTTCAAAACCAGTCTGGCCAACATGGTGAAACCCTGTCTCTACTAAATATACAAAAATTAGCAGGGCATGGTGGCGGGCGCCTGTAATCCCAGCTACTTGGAAGTCTGAGGCAGGAGAATCACTTGAACCCAGGAGGTGGAGGTTGTAGTGAGCCGAGACTGCACCACTACACTCTAGCCTGGGCAGCAAGAATGAGACTCCGTCTCAATAAAAAAAGAAAAAAAAATTTCAGATCAGCAGTAAAGCTTATGACCTAAAATAATAGACCATCCTCAGTGGTAGAAAAGAACTACATCATTATAATTCTGGCTTATAAATTGTAAAATGTCTAAAAATTTCTATTTTCATACATTCTTTTTTAATAGCTTAGTAAACAAAAATGTCTTACAATATGGTGGGAGAGACCCTGATTCTGTGATTCTCTCATTTCACTCTTCTAGGGAAATAAGGGTACAGTACAAATAATGAGTCACAAGTGACAATGAGGACAAGTTACTATACAAGTAGCATTAATAAAATGTTTTCTGTATATAAAACTTGGTTTATGGCTGTGTCATTAGGTCCCTGAAAGTTTCCAAGGAGCAGGTCTTAATTACAAAAATTAAAAGGAATTTGTCTAGATGCGAATAAAATCAGATGAGAGGAAATCAATGATTTAAGATAATATATAACTTTGATTCAAAATTCATAAAACATTACTACCCCATATCCTGTTATTGAAGCTTATGAAGAACTTGAGCCCAGATAACTTTATGGCTTTTTTTTCTTTCTAAGGTCACAGGCACACTACACTGAATGATAAATTATTCATACAACAAAAGATGAAGATGCTAATTTGAGAAATTGTCTCACAAATATGATGATATACTTCACTCCTCAAATCAAACCTAATTAATTATTTGGTCATGTATATTCCAAATATAACACATACTGAAATAATCTATTGGTTAAACGTTGCAACATAAGTTTCATTGTATTCCCACAAATATATATATTTTAACACAATGCTTCTTATCACAAGAGCTATGGTTCAGGAAGGACCTTTCAGTCTGTTACTCCTACTCTAAAATTCAAATCAGAGAAACAGGAAAGTTGAATGAATCAAACATAAATAAAATTCCACTTATCTATATTTTATAATACTCTGCTTATGTTTCACAAACACAAATGATATTTAAGCAAGTTATTATGCTGATTCCTTTAACTCTGCTGGAAGTCAAAATGAGTTAGGCATTCTTTCCTTCAGAAGGCCAGTCAAGAAAGAAATGTTGTTGATCTACTGTGCAGTTCATTAGAGGCACAGCTAAAATGAAAGTCAGGGTGTCTGGGCTCTTGATTTTGTAGGATTATAAACTGCTTTGGTGTTCAAGATATTAAAGAGTTGAAACAGGAGTCTATGTAACCAGTCACAGCCTGACTGACAAGCAATGAGCATGACTTCACCCCTTCAGGATTTGAGAGACTATTATGCTGTTTGATGTTAGGCAGAGCCCAGAAGCCAGATGAGAGATGGCTGGTGCTAGGTTCACACCCATATTGCCCACTAGGCAGCCACATCTCTTTGAAGGTTTTTTGTTGATTTTACTGTTGATGAAAATCAATTTGCCATGAAATCAGAAAGAATTTACTAAAGTAGTCATCACCAAATGCAGAAGAAATATTCTAGAATAGAAACTGCACATTATTACTGCATCAAAGACAGAAAAGCTTGCCTTGAGAAGTATTACACATTTTTCAAATAAAAATCCACCAAACAGCACTGTACTTTTAACATATAATCATGAGACTGCTTTAATACCCCATTTCGTAATTTCAGCCAAGCTTATTAACAGAAATGCCAAAATACCTTTCATTACAACATAATTTGTTCACAACATGTCCATTTGTGATTTCCATTTAAGGACAATAGGTGAGTCTAAGAAATTTGCTTTCAAGATCTCCTATTTTCCTCACTCTTGTCTGGGTGTGTTCAGCTATTGTCTGATTTTCTCTAACCCCTCTAACCTTTTTTCTTGGAGAGAATATGTTTATTTGTCACAGTTTTCAAAAATAAGCTTGTAGAACCACTGCTTCCTCTGTTCTCCCTCACCAGTCTTTGCCATCAACACCCCCCAAAATAGCAACACTCTATCTGAAGCTACAGTAAGTTACCCTGAACATTGCTCAGAAGCAACTACCAGTGAAACCAGCAGCTTTGTGGTTGTTTAGAACCAGCTGGCCATATGGTATATGAAGGACTTAGACTTTAAAGAACTTTCTAAACTGCTAGTTAATTTCCTGAGGTATTTTGAAATATTTCATACATGCTGTATATTTTCCTTTCTAGATTTCTCTAAGAATACTTTTTCTTCTCACAATTTAAAATGTAGCTTCTGTGCAAGCATTCCTGGCTGGTCTTAAGTAGGATGTGAGTTCATATATTGTGGGATCTGACCAATACGAGAAAGAAATCATGACTATATGGTAGGATTTTGCTACTGGTATTACCTTGAATATTATTATATTTTACTTTGTTTTCATTTTCTTTTTCTGCTTACAGAGTTATCGGCTAGGTATAACTAAACAAAAAGTAATGTTTCCCCAACACGAGATAACACAAAGAAAAACATTAAACTTGAATCTTCTTATTAGATACCACTAGAATTATTTTATATATGATGCAATTAACTTTATAATGATCTGGAAACATATCTTAATACTTCGTATTTTCTTATGTAAGGATTAAGAAGTATTATTAGATCCACAAAAACAAAACGAAATGAGTTTGTCATTCTATCTACCTACTAATCCGAATGACTGTTATTTTCTTAATTTTTTTTAAAAAAATGTTACACTGGTCAATATGTTTAATTAAGTATCAAGCTTTGTGACTCATGTCTAATACTTTTTATATAGCATAATATTGAATCTATTCTTGAAGTAATAGTAGATATGGAATAAATATTTTTGATTTTTTTCCCTGACTTACACAACCAAATATCTTCTTTTATCATGAAGTAAAGATCGAGTTTAAGACATACTTTGTATGTCTTATGTCCAGCCTCCAGTCTCCCGCTTAAGTGCTCACAGTGGCTCACATCTATAATCCCAGCACTTTGGCAGGCTGAGGCAGGAGGATCACTTGAGGATCACTTGAATCCAGGAGTTCAGGACCAGCCTGGACAACAAAAGGAGACTCCATCTCTACAAAAAATTTTAAAATTAACCAGGTGTGGTGGCGTTCACCTGTAGTCCCAGATACTTGGGAGGCTGAGGTGGAAATATCACTCGAGCCCTGAGCCCAACGGTGGGTCAAAGCTGCAGTGAGCTGTGATTGCACCACAATAGTACCACTGCAGTCCAGCCTGGGCAACAGAATGAGACACTGTCAGAAAAAAAAAGAAAAAGAAAGAAAAAGAAAAAAGACATACATTTTGTAGTACCTTAGCAGCATACCCAACATAGAAAAGCAATCTGCATTATCATGTCTTATAAAGGTGAGGCAAACATGTTTATTAAACAATATATCCTGCAAAGTCACCTATCTATGAAACCACAGAGAAGAGTGCCGACCCAGGCTTTGTAAAGCACACAAGGAGCCCCTCATGTGGCTTCAGTTATTTAGTTTTTCTGTTGGATAAAAAGATTGGCAGTTGCATGTTGAACTTCTTAATACTTGCTGATCTAAATTTTAAACATGGCTAATCTTTGTAAAGTCAGGCAAAGTTGAGAAGAGGATTCTGAGAGGCCTGCCTAAGTTTGGTCAAGGAGAGTCTTTGTCAACATACATACCCATACATACTTATGTGTATGTAGGTATGTGTCCTTGGACATATTACATTTCAATGCCTGTTACATCCACATTGACATGTTGAGTAGGTAAATATATAAATTTAGCATCTAGCACTTAAGGGGGAGACTGGAAGCTGGACATAAATTTGAGGTTCAGAGCACATTGGTGCTATAAGAACATGAAGGAAAAAAAGAAATCTGAAGACCAAGTCTGGGCTTGGAGGTCTGGAACAAGAGGATCCAGTCACAGAGACTGAGGAGGGGAACAATAAAGAATGAAGGTGAGCCAGTGATTGCGAATTACTTTCCAGGAGTTTTACTATAAAGAAATCAGATGGTAGCCAAAGGGGAATAAGTATATTTATTAAATAAATATATGGCTATAGTTGTCATAATAGTTTTAGATATAGCTATGGTTATACATAAAGTACAGATTCTCCCTCAGGGCCGTCACACTTGGCATTCTCTCTCCTTTCTGATATTTCTATGTTTGGCTCCTTCTCATCTTCCAGTGTTCTTTCTACTTGATCACTGTATCAAAATTTGCTCCCAACACCACTAACCTCTTTTCCCTGCTTCTGTTTCATTTAAATCCATAAAAATTATCAAGTCCTAAAAGTATAAAATGTATTCATATATTTATTATCTGTCTTTCCCATTGGAATGTAAACTCTAAGAGAGGAAGACCTTGTATTCATTACTATAAATTAGAACTGTGAATTACATAAAATGTGTTCAATAAATAATCAATGCATGAACATATGCCGGTTTGTATGGATTCACACATATACACTTTTATTGCACAATCCCATGTGATGTATTTAATAATTAGAAAAAACAAAATTATGTAAAATCTTCTTTCCTGTTTATGTCGTGATGCAGAGGCAAAATAACAGCATCATAATCAATAATTTACCAAGGATTTATCTTTTATTTTAATCAAGTGTTTACTAAGGTAGATTTTTCATATCCATGCCTGTGATTTTATTTCAGCTAGGTGTCCAATACTTGAGAAAGTTAAGACCTTATCATTCAAAAGCAAGCAAGTGGAACAAAAAAAAAAAAGAAAGAAAAAGAAAGAAAAAAAGGCCTTATCTTAATTCTAAAAAATATTTTGCAGTACAATGTATTATTATTATTTAATATGTTATTTTATTTAATTTGGTAAAAAGTGAAAACACTCAAATCATAGTCAAACATGATGGATCACACAAAGAGTAATAAGAAACTGAATTGTAAGTAACAGGTAATATTAGTAAATTAAACCTCATGGAAACTTAATAGAAGCAAATTTGTTTCCTATTGGATTTTCCAATACTTTTGCTGGTACCTAACATGCTCACAGGGAAAAACAAATTTAGTTTAAAACTTTATGAACAGGAAAAAATGTCCAAATATATGAGAATTAAAAATATGTATCCATCTGTTTTAAAAGATATAGAAATACTACATGTAGATTCTGCATGTGCAAAGCTAACTAGAACAGTTCTCCATCCTGGAGATAAAAACAGATACAGTAAAATATGTTAAGTGATAAAAGAGTACTTAGCCTATTATAGGAGTTCAGGGAAGCCATGCTGGGGAGATGATGACAAGCTGAAATCTTAAAGAATGTGTGAGACCGTAAAAACACACAATATGAAGTTTATAATATAACAGTATGAAGTATTTGGGAAATTCATAACAAAAACAATATTAAAGAATACATGAAAGTACAGACATAGGTAATTATGTGTCATTTTCTCCTCTTATATAAAGAAAATCTAAACTTGTGGCAGGACAAAAGCTTATCTCATGTCTAGATGCTGGTGTGCTCACCTCTTAAATATTTGTAATATTTATTTTAAGTGTAGTCAGAGAATCTAGAGGCAGGAGGATTGGCAAGAATACAGTCGTTGCTGAAATTGTACACAGTATAGAGTAATCAAAAGTTATCCCAAAGAAAGGGCTAGTAAAAATCATTCCGTCTGTGACTTTCTACAGTTGATTATTGAACCATTCTAAGAAAGCACCCAAATGGAGAGTTTTGCTAAAACTCCTAATGTAGACTTACTACAGTAAAGATACTTTATGTATGATATATTCACCAGTTCAGTGACATTTCACACTATAAATTTCCTCATTTAATATGTCTCATTAACACAGATGCAGGACTCCTGAGCAATTTTCTAAGGATTCTCATACTCAAAAATAAATATTTAAACATTTCATTCTCCATAATAACATTACCAAGTCACAAAAGTGTGGCCTGGTCAAATGATACTACGAAATACATCCCGCCTTTCGCAGTGAATCCTCAAAGATCCTTTTGGAATAAATCTCTACAAATTGTCATTTCTCCCAAACACTGAATTCTAACACTGAGAAAATTGCTAACACTTTATAAAATAAGAAATAATGTAGTACAGATGTGAAATAAATCATTTCAAACATCAAACTTGATAGATCTCTTATTGTTCTTTTGGGGGTCAGGTGAGTTGTTTAATATCATTGAAGCATTTCAAGAAATAAGCAGGATTCTCTTAGATTTGCAGATAAGTATTAGAAATTGCTTCAGGTAAGAGGATCAAAGTGAAATAGAGCAGAGAGATAAAATGAGAGAATGATACAATGGATGTTATTAGGTGATATGATTGAAGAAAGAAAAAGGAACCAGCGAGGGAATTAAAGAAAATGAACACAGACATATAGAAACATTCTACAGAGGACACAGAAAAAGTGAAAAGATGTGACAGCAACCTACACAAAGGACTAAAGAAAATGAAAATATAGAATATACTTTCTGGAAAGAAAAAGAAGGGAGGCCAATAATTGATTTTTAGGAAGAGAGAGGAGATAGCAGAAAGTGACACAGGGTGATCCCAGGAAATGGAAATCATAGGAAATGGTGAAAGAGCAGTTCAGGCATGCTTGTAAATTTGGCCTTCAGTGTTATAGGTAACCTCCTGAATGTGGTAAATATTAGATTCAAAGTTCAGTACCTTAGCTTTATCTCTCATTGATCCTTTGCCCAGGATAGACATTTTAGCACCTGTTTCTTCCTGTAGCCTCTTCAAGGAGTTTCCTCTTGGTCCAAGCAATTTCCCCACAAAATTGAACTAGGAAACAAAATCAATAGAATGTCTGTTTTAAGGTACAATAAAGTGATTATTTGCACCAAGAGTAATTGATAGGTTATAGGTTTTCCAAACTTTACCACTGAGAAGAGAGTCATGCCATAAACATACACACACACACACACACACACACACACACACACACAAACCCCAAACCATTTCAGATATCTAATCTAACACTCATTTTAAAAGCTATATCTCTTCTTAAAAGAATGCCAAAGTGAAAAGTATGTTGAAAATATCATTTACATATATAATCAAATGAATCATTTATTAAGGAAAGAAACTAAGGACAATCATGCTGGTTTACAGAATTTCTAAAGGCTTTTTCTCTCAAACTATATTATTGAAATAAGAGATGATTTTAACGTAAGTCTATGAACCTTCAAAATTGTAAAAGTTTGCAATCAATATTTTAAAATCGATGCTTTAAATTAGTATCTAAAATAAAATTTGATATTCAAGTTTGTTAAGCATTGTCTGGTGACCATAACTTTCTATTACAACTTTCATAATCAGGAATAAAGGGACTCAATTATTGTTCAATCTTACATTGTCTATATTAAAGAGTTGTTTTAGTAAATAAAAGATATGAGCACATAAAAGTTAAAAAACAGTACTTATAAAGCATATATACAAAACACTTTGTCGAAATAAAAAATTCTGGGGTTCCACATAATTTGCTTAATCATCTTGAAACATAAATAAGAACAAGTGAACTAAGAGCAGTTACGAAAGCATTTATGTTAGCTACTAAAAGGAACATTTCCAAACCAAATGACCGAGGTAATAATTTGTGCCATAATTCGTCGATTAAACTAAAAATACAAAGAACATAGAATGCACCAAAAACTATCTTGGGAACATAAAGAACAATGATAAGTAAGACTAAGTAAAATTGCTTTCTATATCAGAGATTTTCTTTCCTTCTCTTTTCTTTTCTTTTCCTTTTCTCTTCCCTTCTCTTCTCTTCTCTTCTCTTTTTTCTTTCTGCCATAATCCCTCAGTAAGAAATACACCATAGTTAATGGTATAAAACTCAGTTTTTTTCCCAAGTCCAGAATAAAAAGAAAGATGTCTGCTCTTACCCCTTTTATTCAATTTTTTTACTGGAGTATGGATTGTTGTACGTATAGGTAAATAGATATGGTATGGTATAATGCCCAAAAAGACTATACATAGGTGGTCAATTTATTGTCAGCAAAAGTGTCAAAGCAACCAAATTTGAAAAGTAAAGTGTTTTCAACAAATGGTAATGAAACAATTGAATATCAGTATGAAAAAGAACAAAACAAAACAAAAAAGGAAACAAAAAAAAACTTTCATGACCTCTTTCACACGTAGGCAAACCTTATTTTGAGATCGATCATAGAACTATATGTGACAACTAAAATTATAAAGATTCTAAGAAGAAAGCATTAGAAAAACCTTTGTGAACCTAGGCTAGGAAGAGATTACTTAATTAGAAAGCAAAGAGCACCAAAAAAAAAAAATCCCTAATGTATCAGTGATGATAAGCTTTTATTCATATGTTCGTTGGCTACATAAATGTCATCTTTTGGGAAGTGTCTGCTCATATACTTCACCCACTTTGTGATGATATTTCTTTTCTCTTGTAAATTTGTCTTTTCTGTTCCTTGAAGATTCTAGATATCAGACCTTTGTCAGATAGGTAGATTGCAAAAATATTCTCCTGTTCTGTAGGTTGCCTGTTCATTCTGTTGATAGTACCATCTTATGCCAGTTAGAATGGCAATTATTAAAAAGTCAGGAAACAACACATGTTGGTGAGGCTGTGAAGAAATAAGAATGCTTTTATACTGTTGGTGGGAGTGTAAATCAGATCAAACATTGTGGAAGACAGTGTGTTGATTCCTCAAGGATCTAGAACCAGATATACCACTTGACTCAGCAATCCCATTACTGGGTATATACCCAAAGATCTACAAAGCATTCTACTATAAAGACACATGCACACTTATGTTTATTGCAGCACTATTTACGATAGCAAAGACTTGGAACCAACCCAAATGCCCATCAATAACAGACTAGATAAAGAAAATGTGGCAGCACATATACACCATGGAATGTTATGCAGCCATAAAAAAGGATGAGTTCATGCCCTTTTCAGGGACATGGTTGAAGCTGGAAACCATCATTCTCAGCAAACTGACATAGGAACAGAAAACCAAATACTGCATGTTCTCACTCATAAGTGGGAGTTGAACAATGAGAATACATGCACGCAGGGAGGGGAACATCACACACCAGGGCCTGTGGGGGTAAGGGGAGGGATATCATTAGGAGAAATACCTAATGTAGATGATGTGTTGACAGGTGCAGCAAACCACCATGGCATGTGTATACCTATGTAACAAACCTGCACATTCTGCACATGTATCCCAGAACTTAAAGTTAAAAAAAAAAAAGGGGGTGAGAAAAAAAAGCCCTACTGATGCAAACACTCATTAAAAAATTGAATAGATAAGCCACAGGCTGAGAGAAAACACTCCTTACCTCTGAAAAATGACTAATATCTATAATCTATAAAGAACTCCATCGAATCAATGGTAAATCTCACACACACACACATATATACATACCCCAGAATGGCTAAAACTAAAGGAAAACTCATGGTAAATGCTGATGAAGATGTGTAATTACTACTGCAATTGCTGTTGGCAGTTTAAAATGATACAGTAGTATCATTTTAAGACTGGCAGTTATTTATAAAGTTAAACTTACAGTTCCACTATGATCCAGTAATTCAACTGCTAAGTATTTATCCCAGGGAATTAAAAACATATGTTCATAAAACAACTTGCACGTGAATGCTCATGACACTTTATTCACAATCACCATTAAGCCAGATGTAAACAAGTGCTCATCCTAGAAGTACGGACAAACAAGTTTATATGTAAACAGAAAGAAACTAGCCACTGATTGACACAACAACCTGGATGTATCTAACAGACATTTGAGAAGCCAGATATAAAAGAATACATTATGTTAGGTTCCACTATTACAAAATTCTAGCAGCAAAAATAATATATGGTGTTAGACTTCATAAGAGTGGTTGTCTGTTGAGAACAGAGCCTGAAGTTGAACTGGCTGGAAAGCGGCATGAAGGAAATATCTGGGGTGACAGAAATGCTCTATATTTGTTGGAGGTATAGGTATACTTTTATCAAAATTTATCAAGCTGCACTCTTAGGAACTATTATTTCATTGTATGCAAATAGCATTTTAATTGAGAATGTGAAAAACAAAATGAAAGAATAAAAACTCATGTAAAATATTTTTGAAATAACATCATAGTTTCTGTTTTTACATTTAGGTCTCATCCGTTTTGGGTTATTTTTTGCATATGATATATAATAAAGGTCCAATTTCATTCTTTTGCATATAGAAATCCAGTGTTTTTTTAGCACAATTTATTGCAAAGATTATCCTTTCCTCATTGTGTTCTATTGGTGCCCTTATAAAAAAAAATCAGTTGGCTGTATATGTTTAGATTTATTTCTGAGAAAACATAGGTTCAAAACCTCTGAAGGCTGGCCTTGGTAAAGAATTTTTGGATGTCATACCAAAAGCTCAAGCCACAAAAGCAAAAACAAATAAACGGGACTACATTAAACTAAAAAACTCCTTCAGAGCAAAGGAAACAATCGCCAAACTGGAACAACAGCCTCTGGATTGGGAACAAAAGATATTTGCAAAGCACACATCTATTAAGGGTTATTATTCAAAATTTATAATGAATTAAGACAATTCAATGGCAGAAAAACCGATTTAAAAATGGGCAAAAGATCTAAATAGACACTTATAAAAAGAAATAAAAATAAACAACAGGTATATGAAAAGATGCTCAACATCATTAATCATCAAGAAAATGCAAATCAAAACCACTACGAGATACCACCTCAACCTCATACTTATCAGGATAGCTATTTCCAAAAAGTCAAAAGATACCAAATTTTTACTTGAGTGAGCAGAAAAGGGTATTTTTTGTAGACTGCCCATGGGAATGTAGATTGGTATACCCAGTACAGAAAATCCTATGAAGGTTTCTAAATAAATTAAAAATAGAACTACTATATGACCCAACAATCCCTCTCCTGGGCATATACCCAAAGGAAATAAAAATCACCTTGTAAAGATACCTGCACTTTAATGTTTATTGTAGCATTATTCATGATACTAAAGATATGGAAACAATCTAAGTGTCCACTGACAGACAAATGGATAAAGAAACAATATAGTGGAATATTATTCAGCCTGAAAAACAATGAGACCTTGCCATTTTTGCCACAATGTGGAGGAGCTTGGAGGACAATATGTTAAGTGAAATAAGCCAGACACAAAAAGAAAAATATGGATGATCTCATTTATATATGGAATCTGAAAAAAAATACCAAGAAAATGAAACTGTTTACCATGGTTGGGGTGGAAATAAGGAAACGTAAGTCAGAGGATAAAATGTAGGAGATATGTAGGATGAACAAGTCTAGAGACAGAGTGTACACTGGCAATCCTCAACCTTTTTGGCACCAGGGACCAGTTGCGTGGAAGACAATTTTTCCACTGGTGGGGTGGGGGTGGAGGAGGGTGGGGGTTGGGGTGGAGGAGGGTGGGGGTGTTTTGAAATAAAACTGTCCACCTCAGATCATCTGGCATTAAGATTCTCATAAGGAATGCAAAACCCAGATCGCTTGCATGTGCAGTTCACAATAGGGTTCCACTCCTGTGAGAATCTAATGCCAGGGTTGATCTGACAGGAGGTGGAGCTCAGGCAGTAATGGTAATGCTGGCTTGCTAGCTGCTGACCTCCTGCTATGCGGCCTGGTTCCTAACAGGTCACAGACCAGTACAGGTCTGAAGCCCAGGGATTGGGGACCCCTGGTGTACACAATGTAGACTATAGGTAATAAAATTGTTCTGTATTTGGATTTCATCCTAAGTAGATTTTGGCTGCACTTGCCACAAAACCTAAAAAAATAATGGGTAACTGCGAGATGATGGATATGTCAGTTTGCTTCACTACAGTAAACATTTTGCTCTCTATATTATCCCATTACATCATGTTGTATACCTTAAATATATACAATAAAATGTATTAAAAAATAAAATCAGCATAAAATCATAATGAAATGTACTATAAAGAAATACCAGTCCCATTAGTTGCACAAAGGGATCTCTCTAGACTTATAGGAAATGTATCATTCCAATCTATGCACCAGAGAAAAAAATGGAGAAATATCCAAGAACTCAGCAGGAGAATATAACCTTCATACCAAAACCAAATCAGAAAAGGAAATGCATAGACCAAAGCCACTCATAAAAGAAAAAAAAAATGACATGAAAAAACCCACTTGGCAAAATAGTATCATAGCTAAGTCCTGTTGTATGTACAAAATACATCATGATTGAGTTTTATTTATCATAGGTATACAAGTATTTTAAGATTTATAACCTCTAATTGTAATTTACCCATTAACAAATTAATGAATAAAAAGGCTAGCATTTTATTTGTTTGGAAAAATGATTTGATAGAATTTAAACTTAATCATTATACAAACTCACATCATCTGAAAAACAAAGGAAACATCATCAGTCAATAGAAGGCTTCTATTCAAAATTCATAGGAACAGTAGATTTACTGATTTAAAAAATCTTAAACAAGGTAAAGATGCACATTCTTGACACTTTATTCAGCACCAACGACTCAAACAATCTACTAAGACAGATAAATATTATAAATATCAGAAAGTAAAAAAATGCCATTTATATAATTATATACATAGAAAACAAAGTGTTTTCATAAAAATATTAGAATTAGTAAGAGAGCTTAGCAAGGTGCTGTTATACAAAAAAGGTTAATTGTATTTTTGTATGCCAGCAGCATATAATTAGAGAATTTTTTTAAAGGAGATACCATTTATATAGGAATTTTAAAAACTAGATTTTCTAGAAATAAATTTAGCCACAGATGTTCAAACCTTTACAGAACATGTATAAAATACATTTTGTTGAGAGATATATTGTGTTCATAAATAGGAACTCCCAATGGCGTATAGATTTCTAGTCTTCTAAATTTCATCTGCATATCCAATGTAATTCTAATTACAATCACCATAGGGTTTGGATCAACTTATTAGTTGGTCCTAAAATTTGTTTAAAAAAGTGAAAGTCCAAGAAGAGCCAAAACCATTCAGAAGCAAAAGAACAAGTCAAGAACTATTCCTTCCACATATCAAGATTCATCATAAACCTGTGTTAATTATGACAGTATGAAGCATCCAGTCCTGGGGCACAGATAGACAAATAGAGCAATGGAATCCAGAATCCATTAACAGACTCCTGTGTATGTTAAAATGACATTTGACAGAGGTAGTGTTACAGATCACTGACTGAATAATGGTCCCCTAAAGATGTCCATGTTCTAATACCAAGAATCTGTAAATATGTTACTCTACATAAGAAACTATATGGGTGTGATTAAATTAGAGATCTTGAGATGAGGGATTATCCTGGATTACCCAGCTGTGCCTAATGTCTTTTTAAAAGAAAGAAGGAGGCAGCAGGGTCAGAGAAGGAGATGTGATGGCAATAGCATGGGCTCGAGGGATACAATTGCTGGCTTTGAAGATGAAAGGAGGCCATGAGCCAAAGAATGAAGGCAGCTTCTATTAGGTGGAAAAGTCAGGGAGCAGATTCTGCCCTAGAGCCTCTTAAAGGAATGCAACCCTGCAGACACCTGGATTTCAGCTTCAAAGAAATCATTTCAGACTTCTGAACTCCACAACTGTAAAATAATGAATTTGATTTGTTTTAAGCCATGAAGTTTAAGTTTGTGGTGATTGTTATAGAAGCGATAGGAAACTAAAATACTAAGGAAAGAAGGAGCTACGTAATATATAGCATAATAGGCTATCCATAGTAAGAGAAATAAAATTAATTCCTACATCATAACAGAAAAACTAAATTCTAGATGGTTTATAGACTTAGATGTGAAATATAAAACTTTAGAACTTCTAGAAGAAAATTTTCTAATATTTTTAAAATGATGAAAATACAATAACTGTAAAATAAAATTTGATTAAAATTAAGAATATCTGCTTGTGAAAATGCACCACAAAGTAGGTGAAAACATAAATCACAAATCTGAAGATGGTTGACATTACATGTTACCATTAAAGCAGTAGTTTACAAAAACAAATATAGAACTAAGGAAAAGAAAAAAGACTTAATAGATAAAGGATAAAGTCATAAATGTGTCATTGAAGGAGGAATGGGAATGGAAAAATCTTATGAGAAATTCAATCGCATTATAATTTAAACAAATCAAATTTAAGACCATGATGACATAATTTTACACACACTATATAAGAGGTCTATGACTATGAAGAGGTCAGACATCAAGCATTGGCCAGAGTGTGGAGAAACATGTACTTATATACGCACCTGTGGGAGTGTAAATGAATACAACCATAATGGCAGTGTCTTGTCAATCTGTAAATCCATTTACCTTATGCCTCAGCAATCTCATTCCTAGATATATCATCCAGAGAAATCTTGGCACATGTACAAGAGTATTCAGTCTCAATCCTTGCAAGAGCAAAAATAGTGGGGAAAAATGATGATAAATTCAAGAATAGTGTGTTGTCAACTCCACACCATAACCAGCATTTTTATGTCTCAAAACAACTTTTCAGATCCCTTTCCACGTAGGTTCACTTTCGTGGTGGGTTTTGTCAATATCAAGAAGTTGCATCACATTTGGAAGACGGACATGAATTGGAGTCCATTATTCCTCGCAAGTCATAGAGATCAGACGTGGTGCTCTGCTGACTTCTATGTGAGTGCTCACTCCGTGGATGTGGCAGCCCCACAGACCTGTCCACAAATTCCCAGTTCTTGGTCTTGGCAAGTTTTGCAAATCTTTCCTCAAACTTCCAGTCTGTGATCATGACAGGCTTCATAGAATATCCTGGAGCTCTGGTTTCTCCCCTGTGCTCTGAGGCTTTAGGCTCCCATCTTTACGGCCTGTTGGTGGAACTTTCCTGAAGACCTTTCCTTCATCTCTTCCCACAGTTATATTAGCCTTGAATTGTGGGTTATAACTATTAAATATAGAGTGGCTTTTGTTTGCCTGTCAGAATCATGACTGGTACAAATGAATAAATAAATTGTGACATATTACTATGAAATATTACAGATCAGTAAAGATGAATTACTCATAACTATATAAAATTTCATTAATCCTAGAAATAAATTTTTGATTGAAAATTCATCTACACATATAACGCTTTACATAAAACTCATAAACAAGTAAAATTAAATAATATTCTACTATGAACACATGCCTATGTAGCAAATACATTTCTTAAATAACAGGGATAATAATAAACACAAAATCCATGATCTTGGTAATCTCTGGGAATGGGGAATAGGGGACATGATCAAAGAAAGACATAAGGTATTATAAAGCAAAGGGTGATATTTTAGACTTTGGTTTAACTTATGGGTTCAAGAGTGTTCATTTTATTTTGTTTTATACTCCACACATGAAAGTTAAACATATTATGTTGGATGTATTAAATATTATGTAACTTTTAAAAATTAAGAACAATTCAAGTTGAGTTAAATGTCACTGAACTTCTCTTTCATATTATGTTACAAAACCTTCTTTCCCCTTTATTGATGACAGTAAAACATCAAACTCAGAAATACCAAGTCATCCAAAGTGATGTCTCCACCAGGAATGCTTAAGACTATGAAAAGAGAAAATTTCACACAATCCCGGCTGAGGACAGATTATTGACAGAATAAATATGTGGTACTTACTTTCAGAATTTTCTATTCTCTGCCTTGATTCTTGCGACACATTTCCCAACACTTCTATTTCAATAGTTATTTTATTTTTAACCAATAATCAAATTGAAACCAAACTGTGAAGCTGAAAAAGAATCATGCCCTTAAATTCTTTTACACACTCTGTTAAAATAGAACACGAAGAGCCAGTAGAATGAAGATGTTGTATAATCAGAGACTGAGTTTCACAAAGTGAGAGAAAGTTGGCTTTTATGAGCAACATTAACTATATAAAAGTATTTTAAGTAAGCAACTTTTCTTTTAATGTGCATGTTTTAAAATTTATAAAAGTACAATCTACCATTTGCTCTTGCTCAAAAGTATTTACCTGTCACAGTTTAAGTCTATTTATGTGATTCTATCCCTGCCACAATTTCTGAAGTTTTTGGAGACAACACTCTGGAAAGGCTCAGAAGGCTTTTCCATGAAAGATCAGATACCATTTCTATTTGAGATTTAAAGTATTAGAAAAAAAAAGTAATCACTAAGCTGGTTACATATTTCTGATGCTGTTCTTAGTTCTTGGAAATTTATTTTAAGATAAACTGAAACTAGTCAACACAAAAGTTGTTCTACTAAGATTTTTTTCCACTTACTTTCAACCTATACTCAGTTCCCCTTCAAACAAAACCAATTGACATAATCATGACAGGTGAATTATCAGTTCACAGTCAGCAATTGGTTCTAACCTTTTCTTTCAACCTCTTTTGAAGACAGAAAATAAATCAAACACTACACACCAGTGTCTTCAATATTTAACCATAATTTAGTAACTTAGAAATGTCTAAGATTCTTAAGGCTTAGCAGAGTGAACACAGCTGTGTTTTCAGTGGATTAAATATCTTCAAATAATTTCAAGGTATTTTATTCACACGTGTTTAAGACAATTAAATTTGTATAAGTCAAATTCATTTATGCTTGTCATTAAACAGTTGTTTTGTAATAACATGTCTATTAACCAAAATAATATATTTCAATGGATTTGAAAAGCAACAAAACATAATTGGTGGCAAAACGAGTGATTATCATAAGTGTCAGGCCATTTTAAGAAAAATATTTTAGGGACATTTTTAACATAGTTTACCCAACAACAGTTTAAAATTAAGTCACATCAATAATATTGGGCATATATATTTTTAAATTCTTCATTATTAACATTATTTCATTAATACATTAAAACATCTTTTCTTTTTTTACACGTGGCATTTTTCTGGTCACATGTTTATAAACTAATTCCATCAAGTCTGTCCTTTCTCAAATAAGATAGGCAATACAACTACTCTTTCACTTTTTATGGGCACTGAAACTGTATCTGCTATGTGATGCAAGGCCAGTGTTGCTCACTGGCATCACCTGTGAAGAATTCCTGAACAGCCAATCTCTCCTGCAGAGAGAATTCTTCATTTTTCATTTGATACAGCTGGTCTTGAATTCCATCATTCGTTGATACTCAAATTCCTTTTGTCCTAACAATTGAAAATATTGGAATGTTACTTTCACGTCCATCATATTCCTGATTTGGGGATGAATCTCCTTTTTAATCAGTGGGAATTCACACAGCGACTGTTCTGTGCTTTGGCAACTCAACATTAAATCATACTTTAGTGCTCTATCCTTGTGTTTGTTGCCATTAAAACAAATTAAAGCAATCTAGGGCAGATTGCACTAAGTGGGACCGTAGACACAGATCAAAAATATTCTTCTTGTATAAATAGAGAGGAAATGACAACATTTCAGGTATTCATAGTACCAATCATCAAAAAACATTGGTGAGCAAGAGAATAGTTTTATTAGAATAGAGTAGAACATTATTTTATTCTATTGCAAAAATATCAAGCTATGCCTGTAAAATTAATTTCATTTGGAATTTACAGAGGTTTCTACCAAAGAAAACCAATCCCAGTGTAGCAAAATAGACAATGATGAGTATTGAAGAAAACAGAGAAGAAAAGCAGAATGATTTAGAATTAACCATTAAAGCTAATATCAATATATTACCACAAATATAATTTATTCAATGGACATATTTGTATAAAATAAAATATGTAAAATTCATATAAAATAAAATCAGTTCAGTCACTCACAAGTAACCACATTTGCTTAGCACCTGAAACTTAGGAAACATATGAAAGAACCAAATATAAATACCTCTTTCAGAAAACTTAGAACTCCACTGAGGGGAAAGGGGCTGTACATAAACAATTATATTGTAGTTTAAACAAAAAACTAATAGTGCCATAGAAGCAGTACAGATTAAGTGCTATAGAATTCAAAGGAAGAAAAAATTATTTCCACATAGAAAAGTTAGGAAGTTTTTTTTTTTTTTTTTTTTTTTTTTTTTTTTTTTTGTGCTGAGCACTGAGCACTGAATAGGGAGCTTGAAGCTGGGTATGGAAAAAGGCAGTGACAGAAACAAGTTCCAAAAAAGAAAAAACATATGGGGCAGATGTAGTGGAGCAGGAAAAAGCTAAACATGGCAGAGCCCATGAGAAGTTGTTTGGTGTAAGCTCGATAAATGATAATGGGAACATGAAGCAGAATGATGACAACAGAAGAAAGAAAAGGAGATGAGACTGAAGCAATATCCTCAATAAGACATGGCAATTTATTATATTAAGTTGGAGGGAATATGAAGAGAGTAGTGTGAAGTAGTAATCAAAATAAATTCTAATCACAGATAATTAGAAAGATAGTGTACCATTAATAAAATTACGGAATACAGGAACAAAAACGTTAGAGAAAAAATTGGAGTATATTCCATTTGAGATGCCTTCCAAATGGAGAAACCTAGCAATCATGTATGGGTAGACCTTGAGAGATAAATCTAAGATGAAAATATATACGTTGTAATTTTCTATACAGGGGTAGTATTTCAAGTCATGAAATTGCTAAGGGAGAAGGATAGCATAGGAAAGAAACTTGAGGAACACGTATATTCAGAAGAAAAAATAAGGAAGAAGGGTAAATAATTTCTGGAAGAATACAAAATTTAAAAAAACAAGGGAAAACTTTTTATAAATCAGTTAATCAGCAAATATGTATCATATGACAATTATGTGCCTAACTATGTGCAAGGTAAAGTCTAGAATTCTACAGGAATGTATAACCAGAATCAGCAGGAAACCTTCCCTGGAAAGGAAGCATTTCTCTAGCTTTAAGCTAAGATGTATGAGAAGTTGGGGCGGGGACAGGAGAGAAGGGTGCTGATGGGGACTTTCCTGGCAGAAGGAGTAACATGTGAGAAAACCCCAAGAGCGTAACAAATTTGATAAACAGAAAGTAATTCGTTTTGAAGGGGTGATATAGAAAAAAATATTCAGGCACTTATTGACCCTGTTGAAAATTCTGATCTTTAGGTAAAAGCAATGTAGTTCAATTGAAGGGTTTGAATTGAGGGATGGGCTGGGGGTGAGTGGGAAGTAGGCTGTGGTATGATTAACATTTACATTTAACGCTGACTTTAAATGTAAATTTAAACTCTGACTGCAGTTTGAGGATTGGAAGACTACACAAAGACCTATAGAAATCTGGAAACCAACATGACAGCAAAGGCTATAGATGGGAGTAATTTAGAGTTTGAGAAAAAGTGAAATAATTCACTGGATTTGGCAATTAGGAAAAATGATGATTCTAGGCCAAGATACCAACCTTACAATATACTTAATCTCATAATTTGTATAACATTATAAAATGAAATAGTAAAGGTCTCTCTCTCTCTCTCTGTCTCTCTCTCTCTCTCTCTCTCTCTATATATATATATATGAACTAAAACAAATTTAAAAGAGAAATATCTACCACAAGTATTAAAAACAATTGCTCTTGTCTGCTATAAGACCCAAAAATCCCACTTGGCATTGCTCTATTGAAGAAAACACTTGAATTTGAAGAAAGTACACATAGTTGGAGAATATAATTCATTTATACTAAGTAGAAAAATGTGGGTCCTTTCAAATCTGTTGATTAGATATATTGTGTGCTTAATCAATATATGCCCCAGATGTTTCAAAATAACATGGTCTATGTTAAAATCATATTATACTTTACAGAATGATCCATGTTTTGATCTTTGTTGGTTTAAAGTCTGTTTTATCAGAGACTAGGATTGCAACCCTTGCCTTTTTTTGTTTTCCATTTGCTTGGTAGATCTTCCTCCATCCTTTTATTTTGAGCCTATGTGTGTCTCTGAAAGTTAGATGGGTTTCCTGAATACAGCACACTGATGGGTCTTGACTCTTTATCCAATTTGCCAGTCTGTGTCTTTTAATTGGAGCATTTAGTCCATTTACATTTAGAGTTAATATTGTTATGTGTGAATTTGATCCTGTCATTATGATGTTAGCTGGTGATTTTGCTCGTTAGTTGATGCAGTTTCTTCCTAGTCTCGATGGTCTTTACATTTCGGCATGATTTTGCAGCGGCTGGTACCGGTTGTTCCTTTCCATGTTCAGCGCTTCCTTCAGGAGCTCTTTTAGGGCAGGCCTGGTGGTGACAAAATCTCTCAGCATTTGCTTGTCTGTAAAGGATTTTATTTCTCCTTCACTTATGAAGCTTAGTTTGGCTGGATATGAAATTCTGGGTTCAAAATTCTTTTCTTTAAGAATGTTGAATATTGGCCCCCACTCTCTTCTGGCTTGTAGGGTTTCTGCCAAGAGATCCGCTGTTAGTCTGATGGGCTTCCCTTTGAGGGTAACCCGAGCTTTCTCTCTGGCTGCCCTTAACATTTTTTCCTTCATTTCAACTTTGGTGAATCTGACAATTATGTGTCTTGGAGTTGCTCTTCTTGAGGAGTATCTTTGTGGCCTTCTCTGTATTTCCTGAATCTGAACGTTGGCCTGCCTTGCTAGATTGGGGAAGTTCTCCTGGATAATATCCTGCAGAGTGTTTTCCAACTTGGTTCCATTCTCCCCATCACTTTCAGGTACACCAATCAGACGTAGATTTGGTCTTTTCACATAGTCCCATATTTCTTGGAGGCTTTGCTCATTTCTTTTTATTCTTTTTTCTCTAAACTTCCCTTCTCGCTTCATTTCATTTATTTCATCTTCCATCGCTGATACCCTTTCTTCCAGTTGATCACATCGGCTCCTGAGGCTCCTGCATTCTTCACGTAGTTCTCGAGCCTTGGTTTTCAGCTCCATCAAAGAAGGCCATTACATAATGGTAAAGGGATCAATTCAACAAGAAGAGCTAACTATCCTAAATATATATGCACCCAATACAGGAGCACCCAGATTCATAAAGCAAGTCCTGAGTGACCTACAAAGAGACTTAGACTCCCACACATTAATAATGGGAGACTTTAACACCCCACTGTCAACATTAGACAGATCAACGAGACAGAAAGTCAGCAAGGATACCCAGGAATTGAACTCAGCTCTGCACCAAGCAGACCTAATAGACGTCTACAGAACTTTCCACCCCAAATCAACAGAATATACATTTTTTTCAGCACCACACCACACCTATTCCAAAATTGACCACATACTTGGAAGTAAAGCTCTCCTCAGCAAATGTAAAAGAACAGAAATTATAACAAACTATCTCTCAGACCACAGTGCAATCAAACTAGAACTCAGGATTAAGAATCTCACTCAAAGCCGCTCAGCTACGTGGAAACTGAACAACCTGCTCCTGAATGACTACTGGGTACATAACAAAATGAAGGCAGAAATAAAGATGTTCTTTGAAACCAAGAAGAACAAAGACACAACATACCAGAATCTCTGGGACGCATTCAAAGCAGTGTGTAGAGGGAAATTTACAGCACTAAATGCCCACAAGAGAAAGCAGGAAAGATCCAAAATTGACACCCTAACATCACAATTAAAAGAACTAGAAAAGCAAGAGCAAACACATTCAAAAGCTGGCAGAAGGCAAGAAATAACGAAAATCAGAGCAGAACTGAAGGAAATAGAGACACAAAAAACCCTTCAAAAAATCAATGAATCCAGGAGCTGGTTTTTTGAAAGGATCAACAAAATTGATAGACTGCTAGCAAGACTAATAAAGAAAAAAAGAGAGAAGAATCAAATAGACGCAATAAAAAATGATAAAGGGGATATCACCACCGATCCCACAGAAATACAAACTACCATCAGAGAATACTACAAACAACTCTATGCAAATAAACTAGAAAATCTAGAAGAAATGGATACATTCCTCGACACATACACTCTCCCAAGACTAAACCAGGAAGAAGTTGAATCTCTGAATAGACCAATAACAGGATCTGAAATTGAGGCAATAATCAATAGTTTACCAACCAAAAAGAGTCCAGGACCAGATGGATTCACAGCCGAATTCTACCAGAGGTACACGGAGGAACTGGTACCATTCCTTCTGAAACTATTCCAATCAATAGAAAAAGAGGGAATCCTCCCTAACTCATTTTATGAGGCCAGCATCATTCTGATACCAAAGCCGGGCAGAGACACAACCGAACAAGAGAATTTTAGACCAATATCCTTGATGAACATTGATGCAAAAATCCTCAATAAAATACTGGCAAACCGAATCCAGCAGGACATCAAAAAGCTTACCCACCATGATCAAGTGGGCTTCATCCCTGGGATGCAAGGCTGGTTCAATATACGCAAATCAATAAATGTAATCCAGCATATAAACAGAGCCACAGACAAAAACCACATGATTATCTCAATAGATGCAGAAAAAGCCTTTGACAAAATTCAACAACCCTTCATGATAAAAACTCTCAATAAATTAGGTATTGATGGGATGTATTTCAAAATAATAAGAGCTATCTATGACAAACCCACAGCCAATATCATACTGAATGGGCAAAAACTGGAAGCATTCCCTTTGAAAACTGGCACAAGACAGGGATGCCCTCTCTCACCACTCCTATTCAACATAGTGTTGGAAGTTCTGGCCAGGGCAATTAGGCAGGAGAAGGAAATAAAGGGTATTCAATTAGGAAAAGAGGAAGTCAAATTGTCCCTGTTTGCAGATGACATGATTGTATATCTAGAAAACCCCATTGTCTCAGCCCAAAATCTCCTTAAGCTGATAAGCAACTTCAGCAAAGTCTCAGGATACAAAATCAATGTACAAAAATCACAAGCGTTCTTATACACCAACAACAGACAAACAGAGACCCAAATCATGAGTGAACTCCCATTCACAATTGCTTCAAAGAGAATAAAATACCTAGGAATCCAACTTACAAGGGACGTGAAGGACCTCTTCAAGGAGAACTACAAACCACTGTTCAAGGAAATAAAAGAGTATACAAACAAATGGAAGAACATTCCATGCTCATGGGTAGGAAGAATCAATATTGTGAAAATGGCCATACTGCCCAAGGTAATTTACAGATTCAATGCCATCCCCATCAAGCTACCAATGACTTTCTTCACAGAATTGGAAAAAACTACTTTAAAGTTCATATGGAACAAAAAAAGAGCCCACATCGCCAAGTCAATCCTAAGCCAAAAGAACAAAGCTGGAGGCATCACACTACCTGACTTCAAACTATACTACAAGGCTACAGTAACCAAAACAGCATGGTACTGGTACCAAAACAGAGATATAGATCAATGGAACACAACAGAGCCCTCAGAAATAACGCCGCATACCTACAACTATCTGATCTTTGACAAACCTGAGAAAAACAAGCAATGGGGAAAGGATTCCCTATTTAATAAATGGTGCTGGGAAAACTGGCTAGCCATATGTAGAAAGCTGAAACTGGATCCCTTCCTTACACCTTATACAAAAATCAATTCAAGATGGATTAAAGATTTGAACGTTAGACCTAAAACCATAAAAACCCTAGAAGAAAACCTAGGCATTACCATTCAGGTCACAGGCATGGGCAAGGGCTTCATGTCTAAAACACCAAAAGCAATGGCAACAAAAGCCAAAATTGACAAATGGGATCTAATTAAACTAAACAGCTTCTGCACAGCAAAAGAAACTACCATCAGAGTGAACAGGCAACCTACAAAATGGGAGAAAATTTTCGCAACCTACTCATCTGACAAAGGGCTAATATCCAGAATCTACAATGAACTCAAACAAATTTACAAGAAAAAAACAAACAACCCCATCAAAAAGTGGGTGAAGGACATGAACAGACACTTCTCAAAAGAAGACATTTATGCAGCCAAAAAAACACATGAAAAAATGCTCGTCATCACTAGCCATCAGAGAAACGCAAATCAAAACCACAATGAGATACCATCTCACACCAGTTAGAATGGCAATCATTAAAAAGTCAGGAAACAACAGGTGCTGGAGAGGATGTGGAGAAATAGGAACACTTTTACACTGTTGGTGGGACTGTAAACTAGTTCAACCATTGTGGAAGTCAGTGTGGCCATTCCTCAGGGATCTAGAACTACAAATACCATTTGACCCAGCCATTCCATTACTGGGTATATACCCAAATGACTATAAATCATGCTGCTATAAAGACACATGCACATGTATGTTTATTGCGGCATTATTCACAATAGCAAAGACTTGGAACCAACCCAAATGTCCAACAATGATAGACTGGATTAAGAAAATGTGGTACATATACACCATGGAATACTATGCACCCATAAAAAATGATGAGTTCATATCCTTTGTAGGGACATGGATGAAATTGGAAATCATCATTCTCAGTAAACTATCGCAAGAACAAAAAACCAAACACCGCATATTCTCACTCATAGGTGGGAATTGAACAATGAGATCACATGGACACAGGAATGGGAATATCACACTCTGGGGACTGTGGTGGGGTGGGGGGAGGGGGGAGGGATAGCATTGGGAGATATACCTAATGCTAGATGACGAGTTAGTGGGTGCAGCGCACCAGCATGGCACATGTATACATATGTAACTAACCTGCACAATGTGCACATGTACCCTAAAACTTAAAGTATAAAAAAAAAAAAAGAATGATCCATGTTTTACCAAAATAACAAAGAAACTAGAATATGCTTATAAAAATGATTCAACATGAATTTTAATAATGTCAACACATACACAATTCATGTACCATTCATTCTGCTATAAATAATTATTTACTATGCTTCTGCATTGTTTTTTTGTGCTAATCATATTTTTCTTTCATAGAGACATCTAAAGAGCCTTTGGTCATGTTTTAAATGTTTTTCATCCTGTGTGGAGAGTCCTTAAATGTATTCAAAGACACGTCTTTGCCATATTTATACAACTGTATTAGGGGTACATTCTTCAAGCTCAAGTTTTTACTCAAAAAGATTCATTAAAAATATCATTATTAAGTGAAAACTATTATATTAACAAACAGTCCTAATCTTAATTATAACTACAGCTCAAAAGCAAACCCTATTTTTTCAGCCTATTCAATTGTCTGAATAAAAATGTTTCTAGAGTTCTATACAGTTCATAAAATCATCTGTAGAGGTACCTGACTGAATGTACACTCAGTACAGTGAAATGTGGCTGCACAATTCCATTTTTATCTAAATCTTTGCCCTTTTAATACTTAACAGATATTTCTTTAGCCTTTCAAGTAGTCATAAAAGTAACATCTTAATGACAACTGCACTCTAATATTTTAGAATTTTGACTTTCTTTAAATGAGCCATAATGGAGCTATCAGATTTTTCATTATTGCATGAGATGAAATATTGGCTTTCTAAGTAAATGTTTTGTTTAAATGTCACATAAGTCTCTTGTATGTTGTGCTTACATGTGCAAATTAGAGATGTTTGTTCTTTAAAGAAGTTTTCCATCTCTATATAATTTCATGAAATAAATATATATGCTTATGTTTGATAAGGACAAATTAATCCATTAAGAGGGGCTTATTGAGCATACATTATGTGACAGGCAGTTTTCTAGGGGACATAGAAGCAAATGAAACAATAATCTTTGGCTCTATGTAATTTACATTCTAAATATAAATTCATTTCCAAGTGAAACATTTTAAAATAAGTAACTGCTTTTTTGTCCTGGATGGTATCTAGATTATTCAAGGTTTGGGCTGCTTAAAAATTAACTATAGTGTTGTTTATTATTTTATTGCATACCATACAGATAGTTCTAACCATTATAAAAAAGATATGCCTTTAGTTTCTTAAGGTTAAATATTAATTCAGCAGTGGGAGTAAATTAAAAAGTTAATTTTGTAACTTAAGTTTTAAATTTTAACTTAATATTTTAAGGAACAACAGCAAACTGTTTAGTATCTCATTTAAATATTGTCAATCTGTTCAATTAGATAGAGAATTGGGGACTGAGCAGATTACTTAGGTTACTTTTTACCCAATTCCAGTTAGTATTCCCATCCGCTTTTCTGAAATCCTTAACTAAAAATGATATGGATCTGTTAGAAAACTAAACAGGAAATCCAAATTTCTTAATACCCATTAAGTTTTTCTTAATACCCACTTAGCGGTATTAGAAACTAGTAAAGGTACTACATATTTTAAAGGAAGTTTTTTACACCAGTAACAGAAATGTTCTATATTAAACTCAATGTGTCTCATGCTTGTACATGATTCTAGTAAGACAATAGGCTCTGTCCAAACTAATTAAGAGCTCTGCTGATAAATTTAAATTGTCATGGCTGCTAACTCTTCATTGTACTGAGTGTACATTCAGTCATGTACCTCTACAGATGATTTTATGAACAGTATAGAGCCCTCCAGAAAGTCTCAGACTATTGGTTTGAATATTTTAAACATATTTATTGATATATAGTTTACGTACCATAAAATTAGTTCATTAAAAGTGTACAATTCAATTTTTTACGTATGTTCACAGGGTTATACAACCATTGCCAAAATCTAAGTTTAGAATGTTTAAGTCCTCTGTAAAAAAATCCCATACTTAATACTAGTTACTACCCATTGGACCCCTACACTTAAACATCCATTAATCTACTTCCATCTCTATACATTTGCTTAGTTTTACCTAGACTGCACATTTTATTTAAATACGGTCGTACAACATGTGGTTTTTCCTTTAGCTTACTGTCTTTTAGGTTCATACATGTGTTGGAACTTTATTTATTTATTGCTAAAAATATTCAATTATGTGGATATATTTTGTCTATTTAACAGCGGACACTTGAGTTGTGTCCACATTGTGGCTATTATAATAATGTTGTTAGAAAATTTTGTGTACAGCTTTTTGTGTGAGTTGAATACTTTTATCTCTTATGTTTAGAAGTGAAATTGCTGGATTATATGGGAATTCTAAGTTTAACATTTTGAAGAAGCATCCAATTGTTTTCCAAAGTGGCTGCAAGATTTAACAGTCCCACCTGTAATGCATGTGGGACTGTTTTTCCACTTCTCGGTCAACACTTGTAATTGTTTGTTTTTGGATTGTAATCATCCTAGTGGGTGTGAAGTTGTTATGATTTGAAGTTGACTGATGGAAAATGATATTGAACATCTTTTCATATGTTTATCGACTTTTATATACCTTCCTTGGATAAATGTCTATGCAGATTATATATCCAGTTTTAATTTTTTTTTCTTATTGAGATATGAGTTATTTACATGTTCTGGCTATAAGACCCTTATCAGATACATGATTTGCTAATATTTTCTTCCATTCTTTGGGCTGTGTTTTCATTTTCTTGACGGCTGTCATTTATAGCACAAACTTTTAAAAAATTTTAATAGTCTAACTTTTTTTTATTTTGTTGCTTGTGATTTTGATGTCATATCTAAAATACCACTGCCTAACCTAGATTTACTCCTATGATTTCCTACAAGAATCATATAGTTTTAACTCATATATTAAGATCTATGATCCATTTTGAGTTAGTTTTGGTGCATGGTGTGAGGTAGTGCTCCAACTTCATTGCTTTACATGTGACTAACCAGTTTTCCCAGTACCATTTGTTGAAAACACTATTCTTTACCTATTGAATGATCTTGGCATTATTATAAAAAATCAATTGACCACAGATTTATGGATTTATTTCTGGAATCTCAATTCTATTCCATTAGTCTTTGTTTTAATCTTTATGCTAATACCAAACCATCTTGAATATTGTAGCTTTGTAGTATATTTTGAAATTAACTGTTTGAGTTCTTTAAATTTCTTTTTCATTTTCATGATTGTTTTGGCTATTTATATTTCCATCTTAAAATTTCATGATTGGCTTGTAAATTTCTGGAAAAAAGATACTAGGGATTTTGATACAGATTGGATTGAAATTGTCATCTTAGCAATAGAGTTGACCCTTGAACAACATGGGGGTTAGGGAAACTGACCTCTTGTGTAGTTAAAAATCTACATATAACTTTGGAGTCCTCAATGACTTAACCACTAAGCCTACTGTTGACTGGAAGCCTTACCAATAACTAGACAGTTGATTAACTCATACTTTGTATATCATATGTGTTATATTCTGTATTCTTATAAAAAATAAGCTGAAGAAAAGAAAATGTTACTATGAAAATCATAAGGAACAGAAAATATATTTGTAGTATTTACTATGTTTATCCAACCGTAAGTTTATGTCACCTGTTTAGAAGACGCATAGTCTGTGTGAAATGGCAGGCAACTGCAGCTACAGGCCTCAATCTACAGTACATATCAAGTTATTATTTTTTTCTTGTAATATCATGACTTTGCTTTGCTTTCTGAGAGGACTTACAGGATCACTAGTGGCACTTCATATAGGTCTCATGGTGTTATTCAAGGTTTATGATACTACATTTAACAAAATGAAAAATACACCAGAACTGTGAGAGATCACTTTCCACTGGAATATGCAATTTAGTTGAGAGACATATTGCTCATGCAAAGATGATTAACATTATACAATATGTAAAATGGATGCCTTCAACCCTTGAGTTCACTGCAATAGCAACAAGGAGATGGTTATAAATTATTACAATAGGATAGTTTGTACTGCCATTAATTTTATGCACTTAGGATTTTATGTTTGTTTATATTTCTCTCAATTGAGAATGGTATCATGGTCTGTGTTTATGTGAGTAAATTTTAACTTTTTATAATAAATTTGAGTATATTTTATAGTAGTAAATGATAAAGTACACTAGTATCTACATACATTTTATGCATTGATGGATACCCTTTCTCTGGATAAGGTCATTCCTTTCTATTCCTAGGATTTTTAGTTTGTTTTGTTTTTGTGTCTTACCATGAAAAGGTGTTAATTTTTGTCAGACACTTTTTCTCCGTCTATTAAGATTCATATGGTTTTTGCTCCTTATTTAATTACTATGGTATATTACATTAATTGATCTACAGAAGTTAAACCTATTTGCATCCCTGAGAGGTCCCTCTTTGCAATAGTGCACAATCCATTTTATAGGTGCTGGATTTGGTTTGTAGTATTTTGATGAAGACTTACACGTATATTAATAAGGGATATTGATATATAGTTTTCTTTTTCTGTCTTTGTCTGGTTTTGGCATTAAAAAAATACTGGCCTTGTAAAATAAGTTGGAAAGTGTTCACTTCTTTTTTTTTTTCTTTTATTATACTTTAAGTTTTAGGATACATGTGCACAATGTGCAGGTTTGTTACATATATATACATGTGCCATGTTGGTGTGCTGCACCCATTAACTCGTCATTTAACATTAGGTATATCTCCTAATGCTATCCCTCCCCCCTCCTCCCACCCTACAACAGGCCCCGGTGTGTGATGTTCCCCTTACTGTGTCCATGTGTTCTCATTGTTCAATTCCCACCTATGAGTGAGAACACGCGGTGTTCGGTTTTTTGTCCTTGCGACAGTTTGCTGAGAATGATGGTTTCCAGCTTCATCCATGCCCCTACAAAGGACATGAACTCATCATTTTTTATGGCTGCATAGTATTCCATGGTGTATATGTGCCACATTTTCTTAATCCAGTCTATCATTGTTGGACATTTGGGTTGGTTCCAAGTCTTTGCTATTGTGAATAGTCTCGCAATAAACATACGTGTGCATGTGTCTTTATAGCAGCATGATTTATAATCCTCTGGGTATATACCCAGCAATGGGATGGCTGGGTCAAATGGTATTTCTAGTTCTAGATCCTTGAGGAATGGCCACACTGACTTCCACAATGGTTGAACTAGTTTACAGTCCCACCAACAGTGTAAAAGTGTTCCTATTTCTCCACATCCTCTCCAGCACCTGTTGTTTCCTGAATTTTTAATGATCGCCATTTAACTGGTGTGAGATGGTATCTCATTGTGGTTTTGATTTGCATTTCTCTGATGGCAAGTGATGATGAGCATTTTTTTCATGTGTCTTTTGGTTGCATAAATGTCTTCTTTTGAGAAGTTTCTGTTCATGTCCTTCGCCCACTTGTTGATGGGGTTGTTTGTTTTTTTCTTGTAAATTTGTTTGAGATCATTGTAGATTCTGGATATTAGCCCTTTGTCAGATGAGTAGATTGCAAAAATTTTCTCCCATTCTGTAGGTTGCCTGTTCACTCTGATGGTAGTTTCTTTTGCTGTGCAGAAGCTCTTGAGTTTAATTAGATTCCATTTGTCCATTTTGGCTTTTGTTGCCATTGCTTTTGGTGTCTTAGACATGAAATCCTTGCCCATGCCTATGTCCTGAATGGTATTGCTTATGTTTTCTTCTAGGATTTTTATGGTTTTAGGTCTAACATTTAAGTCTTTAATCCATCTCGAATTAATTTTTGTACAACTTGTAAGGAAGAGATCCAGTTTCAGCTTTCCACATATGGCTAGCCAGTATTCCCAGCACCATTTATTAAATAGGGAATCCTTTCCCCATTGCTTGCTTTTGTCAGGTTTGTCAAAGATCAGATAGCTGTAGATATGTGGCATTATTTCTGAGAGCTCTGTTCTGTTCCATTGGTCTATATCTCTGTTTTGGTACCAGTACCATGCTGTTTTGGTTACTGTAGCCTTGTAGTATAGTTTGAAGTCAGGTAGCGTGATGCCTCCAGCTTTGTTCTTTCGGCTTAGGATTGATTTGGCAATGCGGGCTCTTTTTTTGTTCCATATAAACTTTAAAGTAGTTTTTTCCAATTCTGTGAAGAAAGTCATTGGTAGCTTGATGGGGATGGCATTGAATCTATAAATTACCTTGGACAGTATGGCCATTTTCATGATATTGATTCTTCCTACCCATGAGCATGGAATGTTCTTCCATTTGTTTGTATACTCTTTTATTTCCTTGAGCAGTGGTTTGTAGTTCTCCTTGAAGAGGTCTTTCACATCCCTTGCAAGTTGGATTCCTAGGTATTTTATTCTCTTTGAAGCAATTGTGAATGGGAGTTCACTCATGATTTGGCTCTCTGTTTGTCTGTTATTGGTGTATAAGAGTGCTTGTGATTTTTGCACATTGATTTTGTATCCTGAGACTTGGCTGAATTTGCTTATCAGCTTAAGGAGATTTTGGGCTGAGACGATGGGGTTTTCTAGATATACAATCATGTCATCTGCAAACAGGGACAATTTGACTTCCTCTTTTCTTAATTGAATATCCTTTTATTTCCTTCTCCTGCCTGATTGCCCTGGCCAGAACTTCCAACACTACGTTGAATAGGAGTGGTGAGAGGGCATCCCTGTCTTCTGCCAGTTTTCAAAGGGAATGTTTCCAATTTTTGCCCATTCATTATGATATTGGCTGTGGGTTTGTAATAGATAGCTCTTATTATTTTGAGATACATCTCATTAATACCTAATTTATTGAGAGTTTTTATCATGAAGGGTTGTTGAATTTTGTCAATGGCCTTTTCTGCATCTATTGAGATAGTCATGTGGTTTTTGTCTTTGGTTCTGTTTATATGCTGGATTACATTTATTGATTTGCATATGTTGAACCAGACTTGCATCCCAGGGATGAAGTCCACTTGATCATGGTGGATAAGCTTTTTGATGTGCTGCTGGATTCGGTTTGCCATTATTTTATTGAGGATTTTTGCATCGATGTTCATCAGGGATATTGGTCTAAAATTCTCTTTTTTTGTTATGTCTCTGCCAGGCTTTGGTATCAGGATGATGCTGGCCTCATAAAATGAGTTAGGGACGATTCCCTCTTTTTTTATTGATTGGAATAGTTTCAGAAGGAATGGTACCAGCTCCCCCTTGTACCTCTGGTAGAATTCAGCTGTGAATCCATCTGGTCCTGGACTTTTTTTGGTTGGTACGCTATTAATTATTGCCTCAATTTCAGAGCCTGCTATCGGTCTATTCAGAGATTCAACTTCTTCCTGGTTTAGTCTTGGGAGGGTGTATGTGTCGAGGAATTTATCCGGAAAGTGTTCACTTCTAATCTTTGAAAAGATTATGAACATTTTATTTAATTCTTTCTTTGAATGGTAAAACTCATTAGTGAAGATATTTGAACCTGGAATTTTCATTGTGGGAGTTTTAAATTATTAATTTTATCTGTACATGTCATAGTTCTATACAGATTTTCTATTTTTTCTTCAGTCAGTTTTGATAATTTGTATATTTTTAACAACTTTTCATCTCATCTACATTATTTAATATGTTGGCATGCTGTTGTTTGTAATATTCTTTCATAAACCTTTTTACTTCTCAAAGGTTACTACTAATGTCCCAGTTTCATTTTTTATTTTAGTAGTTTTGTTTTGTCTCTTTTTCCTTTCAGTCTAATTGTTTGCTAATTTTGCTCATCTTTACAAAGAGCCAGATTATGGTTTGGTGATTTTTTTCTTTTTTCTTTTTTTTTTTTTTTGTTTTATTTTCTATTTCCCTTCTATTCTAATGTTATTTCCTTCTGTTTGCTTGCTTTGGTTCTAGTTTATTTTTTCGAGTTTATTAAGGTGGAAGTTTAGTTCATTGATGTGAGAACTTCCTTCTTTTTAATATAGGCATTTATTGTGATCCCAGAAGGGCATTTCTTGGCTACTATTTCCTGTTTCTCTTCATGAAATTTCTGATTGCTATCCCATGTTGTTTTTATCATGCAGCTCTCAGCCTCCTCCTAATAGCTCTTCACCAAGATCGACATTAGTTGTCAACAATCTAAATCATGTATTTCTCCACTCTCTATTCCAAATAAAGTCTATCCTCAAAAGAAGAACGGCAGATCACTTTGGATTTATGCCCTGCTTTTCCCCTAAGTGGTACTCCTGCACTACTGCACCAGAACTGAGTGGGGATCCACTTTTTCTACGGAAACATATCTGCTCTGTAATATGGATCACAATCAACTCAGAGAGTTGATAAGGCTGTGAAGATGTGCTAAGCTGCACCCATTTAGGAGCCATCAGAGCAGAAAATGTGGCAGACTTGAGAGCATTCCCCAAACCACACATAAACCTATCAGCATGAAGCTGTAACTTCACTGACACAAGGATCTTAAACACAATCTCTAATCAAACACAAATTAAATAAGCTAGGATCCAGTTAAGCCATGCCTGGACTTCTGAACCATAGAAATTGTGAGATAATAAATGTGTGCTGTGTTAAGCCACTACATTTGTGGCAATTTTTGGAACACAGAGATCCTGCACCCAGCACCATTCCTGCATGTCTCCCATAACAAGTTTCCCTTTAAAAACTCTATGCAAATGTTAAAATTTAAGATGGTCTTTGTGACTATAGTCCACCATCTTCTTGGTTTTGATGGCTTTCCAAATAAACATAATTTTTCTCCCGCCAACCCTCACCTCTCATGTCTGGCTTTTGAGTGGCAAGCAGCCAAACCTAGGATCAATAACAATTTCTGGTCACAAATTCATTTTGTACCTTCTACATATTTATACTAACTTTTATTTTCTATCTTCTTGAGATGAATGTTTAACTAGATCAACGTTTCAAGAACTTTAAAGTTTTTAAAAAATATATATGTTATCATGGCTAAACATGTCCAGATAGAGCTTTATCACACATTCTTAGTCATGTATTCAAACATGCTCTTTTACCTCCTTCTATAACTGCTATTAGACTTGAGCTAAATGTTCTCTTCATATCCTCTAGGACCTTAACATATTTTATTATAGTTTCAACATTTTTACTTCTCTGAACTACATCCTAGAAAATTTTCTCAGATTACTCAGTAAATGTATTATGCAAACTATGACAATTTTCCTGTTTAATGTCCCTACAGTTTTTGAATTTCATCTTTAGAATCAGTTTTCTGATACTTTTAAAATTATGATTTTGATTAGTTATTCTCTCTTTAGTTAAAATGAACTTGTATGTGTGTACACGTGAAATACAGAGATACTGAGACAAAGTGAGAGTAACACTTACATTTTGTAAATAGAGTAGTTTAATGTTTGCTTATGTTTTAACTCTTATGCTATGGTCTGAATGTTTGTGTCCTCCCAAAATTCATATGTTGAAACCTAACCTCCAAGGTGATGGTATTAAGAAGTGAGGCCTTTGGGAGGTGATCAGGTCACGAGGGACACATTGTCATAAATGGATTCCCTTATAAAAGAGGCCTGAGGAAGCTTGTTCACCCCCTCCACCATGTGAGGACACAGAAAGAAAATGCCATTTATGAAGCAGAGAGCAAGCTAGACAAAGAATTTGCTGGTGCTTTGATTATGGACCCCACAACCAACAGAACTGTGAGCAATAAATTTTGTTGTTTATAAATAACCCAATCCTAGTTAAAGCAGGCTGAAAAGACTAAAACATCCTGGTATACCAATGGTCCTGGTTCAATTTTATACGCACTTTAATGGCTTTAGTTTGAAAAACCAAGTGGGAAGATGTACACAGATTACAATTTGCCTTTGGCACAGGATTGGGGTTTCAATGTATAAGTTACTTATTTTCCCATTCCTGTTCCTATCAGCATTAAATTTTTTCCTCCTGCTTTCTTTGTGTAGCTGGCATAAGTTTTTTGGTCCAATTTTGATAGATGAGTAACTCTATCATCCCAGGCTTTATGCCATGAGCACAATTTCACTTTGACATTGTGGGCATATTATGAAAATCTTAATTAAGGTAACACTCAGCCTCTGTAGGTAATAGAGCCTCTGTTTTCAGTCTCCAGACTCCAAAGCCTCTCTGTGGTCTAATCTCTGTATATACCCTGCTGGTGGCCTGGCAATCCCTATCTCTCCCTATCTCTCTCTCTCTCTCTCTTCTATTTTTAATGGCACCAAGGAATTTTTTTGATCAATTTGAATGTAGATTTTTTTTGCTGTTATGCTTTTACTCTAATTTCTATGTGCATGTGGTATGGATGCGTTTGAATATGGGGCAGGGGAGTGGGTCTCATCCACATATCTCAATATTGCTTATTAAGCAAATTAACTCAAATATCTATACTTATTTCTCCCCAACCCCATATATTTCTGTCAGCCCTAGCATAGCGCAAACTGATTTTTGGATTAAAGAGTTTTTTCATAGATGATAAAAATGGATTAAAACACTATATTGCATTAAATTACACAAAGTCATATTGAGTTCTCACTCAGGTTGTGCCAGCAAATGTGCTATTGTGGATTACACAAAAGGAGAACTCATCTCATCTTAACAGAGCTATGATTTCATATGTTGACATGATTAAATTATAATTAATACAAAGCACATGATAATAAGTGCTAAAAGAATTGTGTGAAGATGAAGAGATTGTGATGTTGGGAATTAGGTAGATGTTCATAAAAGGTTCAAAGAAGTCAAGGTTCATTAAGTGGCTCTGTAAATTGTGTAAATCAGTAGATAATGTTGGTTGTAGTGAAATGTGGGGAAAGGATTCACTTCCAGGAATTCACTGTGAAGCCTTTTTGTCTAGAAAGTTAGTTGGGGTCATAAAATTAAATTATTTAAATGCCAGATTAAAGGGTCTTGATGTCATTTAGCAAATAATAGGGACTTTAAAAGTGTTTGCCTAGGAGGCAATTCTATTAGTTCATCTTCATGTCTCCATGTCCTGACACTGACGAGAATGGAAGGGATGCTCAATAGTATTTGCTGAAAGACCAAATAAATAATAAAAATAGCTCACACCTGTAATCCCAACACTTTGGGAGGCCACTGAGTTGGTAGGATTGCTTGAAATTAGGAGTTTGAGACCAGCTTGTGCAACATAGTGAGACCTCATCTCTATAAAAAATTTAAAAATTAGCCAGGTGTGGTGGTGGTACACCTGTAGTCCTAGCTACTCAGGAGGCTGCGGTGGGAGAATCACATGAGTCCAAGAGTTGAAGACTGCAATGAACTATGATTCCATCACTCTGCTCCACCCTGGGCAACACAGCAAGATCCTACATCTAAAAAAATATAAAAAAATGAATAATAAATTTACTCCAAGATCTTGCAGAACCTGTAGAAATATCTGTTGAATTTATCATTGCAGAATACATTTTTTATTTTGAAGAAAAATGCTGCATTTGACAAAACTTAATTTACTGAAGAGCAAGGACCATATTAAGTTCATTCTTTTATTCTTACTAGTGTACAGCACATTTTAAGAAGGCTGACTCCAGGCCAAGATCCTATGTATGATCTTTCAGACCTACCAGAAGCAATTATGAAATTGCCTGCCAGGCCTTATGGGGATGGGAGGGAAGCTGCCCTTCCCACATCAGCCTTGTTGTACAGCTAATGCACTGCAGTTTTCTGAAAAGTGTTGCAGTCAAGGACTCAGGCCTTCAGGCTAGCCAATACTCATATGTACGTCTGCATTCCTAGTTCCAGGGACCTCTGTGATGACTTCTTTATCTGGGATCTTGAATGAGGCAATTTTCCAAGGTCTGATTCAACACTCAGTCCAGTAAGATAGGAGCCTTTTGTTGGGGGCTTCTTGTCAGTGAGACAGTTTGCCTCATCTGTGCTGCATCCATCTGATACTCACCTGGTGCCACCCCTTGGAGAAAAATGGCCCACAACACCTTTCTGCCTTTTGATTGAACTACCGCAGCAACTGAATGAGGGCTTGATTATACCTTCGGTTATGCTCATTGTCCTAACAGACAACCTTGACACCTGTCAGCTGGACACATAGTAGTTACTCTGTTAATTAAACTGAAGGAAAGAATTAATTGATAAATGAATAAGAAAGCTATATCACAAAGCAATATGAGACTGAGGAGCAAATAAATACATCAGAAATGTACAGTGCCAGTGGCCATAGCATCTCCTCTGATTTAAAAAATCCATTAAGAAATACAATGTTTGTCTTTCTAAGTACGTTTACAACATAAGGGAAAAGGCATCATACCATACATTTGAAAATGCACACGTAGCATCATTACAATGGCATTTTTTTGTTGTTTTCAGCAAAGCAATTTAATAAATGTTGCTGGCTAAGAGTATCTGCATAACACCTTGCTTGTAAAATCACCTAGTCTCCACAGTTTTGCGATTCACTCTAATCATGTAACACCCTGACATAATTTATCAATATAAAACTGTCCAAATGTAAATTCTAAGTGATTGAGAAATTCAGAAATGTCTGGCTATGCTTTAGGATCTTATGATCAATATCATAAAATAATATACAAGTAATAGATGATGCTATAAAATAATTGTGGGTTTTTTGGTGTGTATGTGTCTCATCTCTTATTTTATCAAAGTTTTCAGAAATTTATCAGTTACATGGCTTTATCAGAGAGGATAACATGTGTATTAATAAATGTGTAAAGTATTTTAGATTATTTAAATTATCAAATTTTATAGTACAAAAATGTTATGATTTTACCTCTAGGAAGGGAATAATTTTTATGACTATTTTCCCCAAAACAAAGATAAAAATACTGATTACTTGACTTCTAAGAGAAAAATATTTTAATTTATAATTTCATCTGTATTAGAGGAAGTGAGAAAAAGACTACTATTTGTAATTATTTATACCATTGAAGTCATGACAGAAATTGAAAGGAAAATTTAGTAAATTCATGAAAGTGTGCATGAAATGTAATAATTATTCTATAGCTAAGATCTAATATTCTGAAGAAAATTATACCACAGAAAGTACATTTAATGTACTTTAGTTTCTACTTCCATGATGTTAAAAGGTTTTAAAGTGCTTTGATGCAAAATGGCAAATGACATACTTCAGAGACAATCAATATGTTTTGCATTTGCTACTAAAAGGGAACATTTTTTGTGTGTCACTGTTGGAAGACTTGCTCTTAGAGAAGTCAGCTATATTTTTAAGCTATTTCTACACAATATTTTTATCATAATACCTAACTTCTCCAAAGGCAAACTGCATTCCTTCCTAACTGACTTGCAAAGGTATGATAATCAAGGTAGCAAAGCCCACTAGAAAAATTCAGCGGGACATATCTAAAAAAATTGCTTTAAATCATGAACTAAGCACAAACAATAATTCACCATGATCCATAACTAACTGTCTGCCCACTGTGAATAAAGTCATCTTGGGTTTCTCTGTGTAAGGAAATGCTTTTCATTATATTTTTATTTATCATGCTGTTTTGTCTCTTATTTTAAATGAAAAGTGTTTTTTTCTATTAATCTAATACACAATTATTTACAGATTTACATGTTAATCTTTCTTGTGAAATATAACAGAGAAAGATGGCTGTATTTAACATAACGGTCACCAGAACACAAGTTAGAAATCCTGTAGGCAGCTACTATGTATGTAGCATTATTGGACAGCCTGGAATCAGGTTTCAGCATTTAACAATAATTAAAAAAATTAAAATATATTTTACATTTGTCACTGCAGAAAATTCTAAGACAAATTCAATGCTGCATAGGTAGTTTTAGAAAAACACTATACAATATTTGAGCATCTTCGTAATGGCACTGGATTCAGTTGTTGAATTTCAAACAACAAAAAGGAATTTCACTGACAAAGCAAAATTGAAAATTTAATCCAACCTGTTTCAAATATTTGTTTCGAATTACTTAATCCCATGAAACTTTGAAAATACAGAATTATTCTCACAAACAGAGTGATATCTAATATAATTAGAGAAATATTAATTGTATTCCTAATGCCTCTGCTAAGAGGGAGGATGAAAGGACAGACATATCCTAAGTTTCCACATAATTAAATCCAAGTCTCAGAAAGATGTATTTATTTATGTTTATAGTTCTCTTACCTTCACAATAGGAACTCTTCCAAATAAAATCATACAATATAACAGTTTAAAAATTAATGCCTACAGACATTCAAGCATGGAGGTACTGCAAGGCAGCACATTTGACCATGAGTTTTCTGTGGCCAAAACAAAATAAAAGATGATGAGTTATAAAATGTACAATGTTTCTGATGAATAATATATATATTTATAAATAAAATGCAAATTTAAATTGTAATTATAAAATACATAAAACGTGAAATAAGTGTTTTATGACTCTATAAATAGATTCTCAATTACATAAAGTAATTTATTCAGAGACATGTTACCTAAGGCAGTTTCTTGTTGCATTCCTAAAGTAAGCTAAAAACATAACAATATTTATTAAATGTTTGTGATGTGCCAAAGCACCACATTAAATGGTATATATACATTATTTTACTTAGTTCTTAAGACAGCCTATGATGCACAAACCTCTATAGACAAATCTATTTTACAGAGTGCCAAAATGGAGGTATTGACTTATGTACCCAAGTTTTCAAGGATAATATCAAAAACAGTTCAAAGTCATTTTTTCCATTAGAAATGACAATTTAGAAAAAATGTAGCCCCTTTAATTATGGGGATTGATTTAGAGATAACATATGGACTTCATAAACGCATAAATGATCCCAAAGTCCTATAATATAGAATCCATTCTATTCTTCCTTCTCAATGAAGCATGTGATAAAATCTGAGCAGTGATGTGAATGTGGTTATATTTTGTGGCAACATACTGGATTGAAGACTTTATATGTTAATTATTGTTCTAGATCATCTCAATTTGTCCATTTAGACCCACTGACTACCCTTCAGTATCGTGCTCTGTGTCCTGAGCTTCTCTGTGAAGTCTGTGAAACCTGACTTGCCATGCTCCTTCCCTTTGGGTTATTGATGAGCTTGGCCAACTGGAGACAATTCAAGCACCTGGAGAGTAGGATAGAGTAACTGGAGTGCTTATAACCCTGGCTCCCACCTTGCTGCATCTTGGTTTGGCAATATTAGGTTCCTCTATTATTAGAGTATACAGCTCCCTTATGGCAGCCTTCTTCTATAGCTTATGGTCTCTCTTCCTTTGTCCCTCTAGGCCTAGGAACGGTAAGGCTCCCCACTGTTACTATCCTGGAAGCACATCATCATTTCTTATTAGCTTCCTTTAATACTGACCATACGTTATAGATATCCTCTTCATTAAATTCTTGTAAATCACCACCTTTGAATGTGTCCTATTTTCTTTTGGCATTCTGAATATATCTAGGAAGAACAAAGGTAATGTTGATGCATTTTTAACAATTAAGATACCTTAAAAAGGCTTATATATGTAATAGATGAAAATGTCACATTTATACAGAAATGTGCTAAAAGATACAGTACAATAATCGGAAAATGAATATAATAATGAAGTTTCTTGGGGTTAAATGACTTCTTAAGTGAGATCAAATGTAGCTGGAGGGTCTTGGAAAGACTTCTAAAGAAAGTAAAGTGTTATACTTGAAGGACAGAGAGGATTTAAGTGTTTCCCTAATATTTTTCAATGGGAAAATTAAATTTCTTGAGTATTAAAGTTGTGTCTAAACAGAGAGTGAGTTTGACAATTGTGAATGACATATGCTGTCAAAGACATAAATTTGGGGCAACAATAATTTACTGAAGTTGCTTAAATGGAATCATGCAAAATTAGAACTCAGTAAGACAAAAGAATAAAATCAAGTTCTCTGTTAAAGCAGATCAAGGAAAGGAAAGATCTTCCAAAATCAACAAAATGTACTGAATGGTAGCACATTTCAAAGAGTTATTCAAACCAGAACATATCTTTATGTAAATATATTCACTACTAGAGTATAAAACTATGCAATTAAATTGTTCCTTTGTATTGTTTTTTTCATTTATCATCTCATATTTGCAGTTATCAGCATGGTTTGTTATTGTTAAAATTTTTTAGATGTTCATACATTTTTGGACACTTTTTGGGAGAAAAAAGAGAAATTATATATAATATTATATACACAAAGTCACCTACTCTTCTTCCTGTAGCCTCTGAAAAGTCAGATTTAAGTATTTAGTATATGCATAATATTGTTGCCAGTGTTGGATGGAAATAACTAAAGGAATTAATTGCAATATTGAAATACATCAAAAACACAATAGGGTATTGATCTCAGAATTTAGAATGAAGAAAATAGTTGTATGCCCAATGGGAATTGATAATTTACCATTAAAACAGCTACTTTAGGAGGTGACGAATCCAAAATTTAAGACTCATCTCTTAAAAGGGAGCTAATGGAAGTGTAGGACTGGGGCTGGATTACTGCCCAGTTAATCTGACTTCCAGACTAAGAAAAATTAGGAAACAAAATGATTAAAGATTATTAAAACCCATCTTCTGACAAGAAAAAGGGCCAAAATGAAATTCTTAGTTTAAAGAGAGAGCAAATACACACTGGTGTGTGTGTGTGTGTGTGTGTGTGTGTGAACAACCCAACTTTATTACATATCACAGAAGAATTCCTAGGAATATTTTGCACATTTATGATAAAGTGGTTTCTTTTTGTCTTGATTTGAGTTGAAGATGAAGGAAAATGATGGATAAATCTTAAGGCTGTCCAGTGGATACCCTTCTCCCTCCATATTATGTGCTAGACTTCTCCTTTCATGGAAACGATTTCATACTTTTATTACTACATCTGTCTTCTAACATTTGAATGGTACAAAGATAGATATGTGACCTGATCAACAAGGACATTTTCTTGGGATGTTTAAAAATTGGAATTGGGACAGAGAACCTCTCTTCTGATTTGAGATTTAAATATGAAATTCAGAGCTAAGTGTAGCCATGTTTCCTGTCCTGTGTAGGAAACAGGTATAAAATAGAGGACAATAAAGCTGAAATCTAGATTAAAACAGAGATTGGCAATGAAGAAAAGCTTTCACGCTTTTGGAATCCTGCTTACTAGTTGCTCCTGAGGCTCAGCTGAAGTCCTCCATGTTCCAGAATTTAAATACTCAATCCTTCCTTCAAGTATGTGAGATACCCCCGGAATCCACTTATTAATTCCTCCTATGATAAAGGTACTCTAAGTTGAATTCCCGTCATTTACAATCAAAATGATATGGATAGGAGGCAGAGAAATACTAGTAGAAAAGGGCAGGGTCCCTGGTGAGGATTCCACCCTCAAGCCTGGACCTGTGGCCTAAAGTAAGAACATGCATTCCTGTTTTCCCACCCAAATGTTGCCTTTTCCACAATGACCCTGGCCTGCCCTGCCCCCGATTCTGTAGCCATAAAAACCCCAGGCTTCACTGGGAGAGGGCAGAGCATCACAGCAGAGAAGGAGAGAAGAGAAGAACCAGCTTAACATCGGTGAGAAGCAGCTTGACTCCAGAGGGATGGCTTCATGGTGGGAACTCAGAGAAGAGTTCAGCCAGGGACAGCCATACTCCAGGGGAAAACCACCGTCCTACTCCATCCCCTTTCCCCATCCTATTGAGGGCCACTTTCACTGGCAATAAAATCTTCTGCATTTACCATCTTCAATTCATTTGTGCAACCTGATTCCTCCTGGATGCCAGAGAAGGACCCAGGTGTGGGTGCAGGAGGCTGTCACACTGACCCTCCACTGAGCTGTTTACCACTTAAGCCATCCACGGACAGCAAAACTAAAGGAGCACATTGTAACACATGCCCTCTGGGGTCCAGGGGTTTTAGGCAACCCCTAGACTCTGTTGCAGGCCCACATGGAGTTCTGCTCCTGCCAGTTGCTCAGAAGTGCTCATCCCTACCTCTGCACCCACTCACCTGCATGCTCCACCTCCTGTGAGGGGTTGAGAGCTGTGGGCTGAGTAAATGAGCTAACTCCTTTGCAAGTCCTGCAAAGGGGTCAAGGGAACTATCCCGTTTCAAAAAGTATCCTGAAAAATGCAGCTTCAGTAGCAAACTATTATACATACTTTTGTATTTCATAGGCTTGTGAAAAGCTGTTTATCACCACAGTGCTTCATTACACTAGTTGTTTTCCAAATTTATTATTGTCCTATTAGAAACAATTAGGTAGATCATAATGGATACCATCAAGAAGGATGTAGAAATGCTATATGTAATTATGAACCAAATTCCTTGATAAATAAAATGCATTTCTAATTTTCATACGTTAGAGAATGATATAACCAGATATTTTGTTATTCCTTTCTTGTACTCCTCCAATTAGTACAAATTTTTGTGTGGCCATATAGTCCTGTGAGGTATAATCCCTAACGAGATATTGAATAATGGAGATTGCAGATGCTTCCTGTCTACCTTTGGTATCTTTGTATAATATTGGACTGAAGGAGGGGGGATGAATTTTGTAAAAGAGAAGAAAAATGAAGGAGATGGTTTAATGTCTTCCGTCTTCATCTTCATGGACAGGCTTTTACCTTCTGAAAAATAAGAGACTACATACAAAAGCCAAATAAATTTTTAAAGATTTAACATTATCCAATGATGTTGGGGAGCTCTGGTGATAAAACTCCACCAAAGTTGATAACAGATATTTTCCCCATTTCTGAGTGGAATAAAGAAGAGCTCCCATGAAAAAATCAGTAAAGAAAAAAGTTATGACACTCTGCTGTGTGTACCCTGGGGAGAGACTCTTTCAGAGATTAGCATTTTCCCAGAGGAACAATAGATAGCCAGAGAATTCAGAGTTTGAGTCTGGAAATATGAAAATTGTTTATGGGGCTATCTCAAGGCATGAATAAAACGACAAGGTTTTCTCTGAAATCAACACAATTATTCTGAACTAATAAAGATATTTTTAGGGTATGAAATTATTAATGTTGTATCATTAAAAATGACAAATGTGTTTTCTGTAAATAGACTTAATGAAGTATTATGTGGATTTATAATCATGGCTTCTCACATTTCTCAAAATATGCTTCAGCTGAGAAAAGTACCCCCAAGAAATAGTTCATTAAATGTATTTCACCCATTACAGAAATACGATTTTCATGACAAATTAACTTATGACTATTTTCCTTTGCTTTCAAGAAAGATAAGTGATTTAGTGAATTCTGAATTCTTATGGCACATGTAAATGAATATTAGTGTCCACAAAAATAATTCTAACAAAACACTTAAATGTGTGCAGGCAAAACTGAAACATCTAACAATAAAATGGCACCATAAAATTATCTGCACAATAGTAAATTTCCAAGAAATCACATTTTAAATATTACTCTATTAGAATTCTAAAGGAGTGCTATTTAGCACCTACTCATTCTGATATTAAGAACTGATTATATTTGAGATATTAAGAATATTAGGATGCTTAAGAAATATTTACATTATTTATTTGAGACACAAAACATGGTGAAGCTAGCTAGATGAAACTGTTGGCAAGGTTAGATGAAATTCTGAATTAAGGCAATGGAGAATGTGGATTGAAAAGAAGGCATAAATGCAATGGCTAAACCATGAAAAATATGTGGAGTGAGATATAAAAAGCATAGGAAATAAGGCTGAGAATCATTAAAATATGGAGGGTGGTGAAAGCAGTGGAAAATTATCATCAAAGGTAACTGAGAAGAATAGGAAAGATTAGTGTTAAAGAAGCAAAGTGAGTTTCAGAAAAAAAAGGAAAAGGCAACAGGAAAACATATTACAGAAAATCCAAGGTCTTTAATATGCCACAAAAATGACTGCATCTCTAGAAGTCAAGAGTTTAATGTATAAATGACGTGTTATATTAAGCACAAACAAAATGCTGCTGAGAAACCAAGTCCATGAATCTTAGCTCTTAGGAAATTAGCAGAAGTACTGAGGAATGTATTTTTACCAGAATAATGAAAGGCAAAGGTCTTTAGCAATGTATTGACAAATAAATATAAAATAAGCATTAAGGTTAGAGTTAGGGTTAGGGTTAATTAGAAGACTGCAGAATCATAGAATGTTGTTACATGTTGAAAATTCATGAAAAAGGGGCACTGAAAGACAGTGATGGGAGGGAAAAATAATTTACTTGAATAAAGTTAGGGTTAAGATTGGGAAAAAGAGTATCTGACAAAGTGGATTTCCTTTGGGAATTAGCAAAATATGTGATCTGCTAATAGTTAAGAGGAGTGGCTGAAGGGCTTCTGAAGACTGGTGATGACTGAGAATTTGCTATGGAGAATCTGAAAGGGTGCTAAGTGGAAACAAACAAAAGAATTACCAACGTACATCAACAATTCAACTGGATGTTTGAAAGAGTTTGGAAATTATGTATAATTGTGTCTGGCAATTCCATTTGCCAATTTTCAGTGACGCTTGATAGATATATATAAGGGTAAAGAAGCATGAAATTTAGCTTAAAATATAATGGGACTTTGACAGGAATTGTTTTGAAAAAGGAAAAGAAGACTAGGGAAATGACAGCACTACTGAGTACTTCAAAGTGATTGATTAATCCCAGGATTCTGTCTGAATAGCAAATGACTCAAAGGCTGAAAAAACAGGAAGGGGTAGAAAGACTTGAAGCTTTGATAGCTATAAAAAATATTTAATTAAGCAAGACAGTGGGAGATGCAAAATTATAGAGAATGTATAGTGGAAATTTAGAAATTTGGTTTTTAGATATAAGAAATCTGAGAATATTGTGAAAGTGGAGGCAGTGGTGGTGGCATAGTGTTGAAATCTCCTGGAATGCTCTCATAAATACAAACTGAGCAACTGGATAGCAAATCCATAACAAAACGAGGTGACAAGGATTCCCCTTGAACCACACAACATAAATGATGGTAATCTGTCTTTTATTAGCATCTGTTCAGGATAAAGGAGAGAGAAGCAAGTTGTCTGACAAAGCTGAGAATAGGAGAATCCCAAAATCATTAAATTGTATTCACTGGAAAATGTAGTGGGCCAATTTGAGATCAGCAGTTGAACATGAGAGGAGTTTTTCTGAACACAGTAGCAGGTGGGTACAAGGCACCCACTGTAAGTTCTAAAGAGCAATGCAGCCACTATACCCTCTCCAAATTGACAGGCAGGGATCCATTTCATCATACTGAGCAAAAATTACCAAGAGTAAAGTCAAAATTGGAGCAGAACAGTGCAATAACTGAAAAAAAAAAAAGGAAAAGATATAGGTGAGAAAAGGGATGAGAGCCAGGAAATGACAAAAGCAATCCACTATATTGTTTAACTCAATACAAAAACAACAAAAGAAGGAACTATGTAAATTTATAAGACATGTATGAACCTTGTCTCTTTCTAGAAGATTCAGAAAAATATAAGTTCACATGAAAATGAGCAAAAGAAAAGGATCAAATCCAGTCTCATGCAGTTATTATAACTTAAAAAGAGAATATTGATCCATATAACATTCCACAAACAATGAAAGCATACCAGAAGGATATGGTCATAAAATACAAGAAAACTGTTTTTCACGATTCTAAACAACCTAAAAGACATTAAGAAAATTATATTGGAGTTAAAGATAAATCAGAATTAGGAAGAATAATGTTTTAGGATCTAAAAAATTAGATTTTAAAACTAAGGCAAAGATTAGAAATAAAAAGACAATTTCATAAATTTAGACTAATTTAGAAGACACAAAAATAAAAATTATGAAAAATAAAAGATAGAAATGAAAATTTAAAGGCCAAAAAGAAATAAAAAAAGATATTAAATAAAATTTAACAGAAAGTGAAATACTGAAGGTGAGTAAAATATTTCCAAATAGGATGAGATGGTTCCCTGAGAAGAAAACAAACCCGACCTTTCTCTCTAGTTGCCCTTAACATTTTTTCCTTTATTTCAAGCTTGGTGAATCTGATCATTATGTGTCTTGAGGTTGCACTTTTTGAGAGGTATCTTTGTGGTGTTCTCTGTATTTCCTGAATTTTAATGTTGGCCTGTCTTGCTAGGTTGGGGAAGTTCTCCTGGATAATATCCTGAAGAGTGTTTTCCAACTTGGTTCCATTCTCCCTGTCACCTTCAGGTACACCAATCAAATGTAGGTTTAGTTTTTTCACGTAGTCCCATATTTCTTGGAGGCTTTGTTCATTCCTTTTCATTCTTTTTTCTCTAATCTTGTCTTCATGCATTATTTCATTAAGTTGATCTTCAATCTCTGATATCCTTTCTTCTGCTTTATCGATTTGGCTATTAATACTTGCGTATGCTTCACGAAGTTCTCATGCTGTGTTTTTCAGCTCCATCAGGTTATTTATGTTCTTCTCTAAACTGGTTATTCTAGTTAGCAATTCCTCTAACCTCTTCTCACAGTTCTTAGCTTCCTTGCATTGGGTTAGAACATGCTCCTTTTGCTTGGAGGAATTTGTTATTAGCCACCTTCTGAAGTCTACTACTGTCAATTCGTCAAACTCATTCTCCATCATCCAGTTTTGTTCCCTTGCTGGTGAGGAGTTGTGATCTTTTGGAGGAGAAGAGGCATTCTGGCTTTTGGAATTTTCAGCCTTTTTTGGGCTGTTTTTTCCTCCTCTTCATGGGTTTATCCACCTTTTGTCTTTGCTGTTGGTGATCTTCTGATGGAGTTTTTGCATGGTCATTCTTTTCGTTGATGGTGATGCTATTGTTTTCTGTTTCTTAGTTTTCCTTCTAACAGTCAGGCCCTTCTTCTGCAGGTCTGCTGGAGTTTGCTGGGGGTCCACTCCAGAACCTCTTTGCCTGGGTATCACCAGTGGAGGCTGCAGAACAGCAAAGATTGCTGCCTGTTCCTTCCTCTGGAAGCTTTGTCCCAGAGGGGCACCTGCCAGATGCCAGCCAGAGCTCTCCTGTATGAGCTTTCTGTAGACCACTGCTGGGAAGTGTCTTCCAGTTAGGAGGCATGGGGGACAGGGACCCACTTGGGGGGACATGGACCCACTTGAGAAGGCAGTCTGCACCTTAGCAGAGCTCGAGTGCTGTGCTTGGAGATCCACTCTCTCTTCAGAGCCGGCAGGCAGAAATTTTAAGTCTGCTGAAGCTGCGACCGTAGCCACCCCTTGCCCCAGGTGCTCTGTCCCGGGTAGATGGGAGTTTTATCTATAAGCCCCTGACTGGTGCTGCTGCCTTTCTTTCAGAGATGTTCTGACTAGAGAGGAGGAATCTAGAGAGGCAGTCTGGCTACAGTGGATTTGCCCAGTGGCAGTGGGCTCCACCCAGTGTGAACTTCCAGGCAGCTTTGTTTACACTGTGAGGGGAAAACCACCTACTCAAGCCTCAGTAATGGTGGACTCTCCTCCCCTCACCAAGCTGGAGCATCCCAGGTTGACTTCAGACTGCTGTGCTGGCAGCAATAATTTCATACCAGTGTATCTCAGCTTGCTAGGCTCTGTGGGGGTGGGATCCCCTGAGCTAGATCGCTTGGCTCCCTGGCTTCAGTCCCCTTTCCAGGGGAGTGAACAGTTCTGTCTGGCTGGCATTTCAGGTGCCACTGGGTTACAAAAAAAAAAAAAAAAAAGACTCCTGCAGCTAGCTCTGTGTCTGCCCAAATGGCCACCCAGTTTTGTGCTTGAAACCGAGGGCCCTTGTGGTGCAGGCACCTGAGGGAATCTCCTGGTCTGTGGGTTGCGAAGACTCTGGGAAAAGTGTAGTATCTGGGCAGGATAGCACCATCCCCCATGGCATGATCCAGCTTCCCTTGGCTAGGAGAAGGAGTTCCCTGACCCCTTGCACTTTTCAGGTGAGGTGATGCCCCACCCTCCTTCTGCTCGCCCTCCTTGGGCTGCACCCACTGCCTAACCAGTCCCAATGAGATGAACCGTGTACCTCAGTTGGAAATGCAGAAATCACCCAACTTCTGCATTGGTCTCGCTGGGAGCTGCAGACTGGAGCTGCTCCTATTCTGCTATCTTGCCCAGGAATCCTGGAAAGTTCTGTCTTTAAACTGATAGTAAGTACAAATTTTCTGTCTTATAATTATTCATTAAGACACATATTTGTTTTGTGTTGTTTTCTGTATCTATATTTTAATTCACTCTGAAGTAATTACATTTTTTGAAGACTATTGTTTGTGTAATGTGTGTAAAGGCTGAATAAAGATGTAGAGCCACTCTAGGTCTAAGAAAAACTTAGAATAAAGCCACAGATAAGGGGTCTGAAGTACAGTAAATAGTGAAGGCCAAGGAACTGCAACGTCTGCATGTTGACTGGGGCGTCCACACAGGCGAAAATGATTCTCACATGACAGTGGTGGAATAAAACTGCTCAAGGTAGAAAAAGCATTAGTAAATGTGTGGAAGTTGCCCAGGCTTGGTATATGATGGTGAGAGAGGTGAAGAAATGACAGTAGAACAAAGATAATAACAAAAACAACAGAAACAAAAAAATTATTTCAAAAATAATCTGAGGCTTGAGTGGGTATTAACAAGAACTATTTAAGGAAATGGCTCCTTCACCATACTAAAGGAATTGGTCCTTGAAAAGGTTAGAAATTTTTAATGGGATTTATATTTTCATTCACAGTTGCTAGTTTTAAGGGCCCAAGCATAGTTGCCTCTAAAGACAGACAAGTTTGTCTCAGGAAAACAGAATAAATTAATACTCATTATCAACTAGTATGTATTAATCAATAATTCTGTGCTTGGCATTGTAAGTGCATTACATTGTCAGATAATTCAGTGTCAAAACAAATTCCCATTTGGTGCACAAATCGTATAAGAGCAGGGCTATATCTGTTAATACCAATGCAATTCTCTACCTCCCAATAACACCTAGTGGTTATAGGAAAGGTGTTTTTTTTTTTTAATTTTACTTATTTAATTTTTTTTAACATTTACTGAGCACCAGTCATGCATGATGCTCTAAAGAGAACTGAAAGTGTTTATGTGCCAGAGAGAACAGGGGTACTGTTTTTATTATCCAAGAGTCTGATTTAAAAAGAAACAGAAGTTGCTAAAATGAAGTATATATGACAAATGTTACCCTTCATTTAAGTGTAATTTTTTTCCAATGAACTCAATGTTCTGTTATTGCTTTAAATTTTGTTTCAAAGTCTCCTAAATGGAGGAGGAAACATCATTATATTCCTGAGGTATATTTAGGTACCCGATTTTTGCAAGTGTCACAGGGAATATGGACCAACAAGCAGCTTAAGTACCACTCAGCAGGGTTAGAATGGCAGAGCTCTTTATGAAAAATAGTTACTACGGGCATAATCTGATTTCCACAACCTATGGGTGACACTGTAATTGGGAATGTCAGGGCCTGTCATACTGTTCATTGCAACCTAGCTGTTGCTCTGCCATCTGGAACAGAGCAAGAATACTATCTGGGTGCCTGATTGGATGACCGTGGAGCACAACACCTCTGTAAAAGGACAAGAACTGCCACGTTCTTGATCCCACTGGACAGTACTCTTAAATTATCCCATCAGGGTCAAATCTTAGGGCTAGAAAGAAGCCCAAAGGTCACTGAGTCCATACATGTAGCTGCTAATATAATTGTACCACAGTATTTTTTATTTTTCATTAGATTATGTAATACATACAGATTTCTAATTTTCTAATAATTCTTAGTATAAAATATCAACCTGTATTTAATTACTCTGTTGCTATTCATAAGGAAATCTGAGGTAATAGTAATGTGTTTGAAGCTACAAATCCCTTGGCGTTTAATAGAAAGCTACCAAATTAAGTTACTTAAATGGGGCAGTCATTCCACAGTGATTGTAGTTGTTGACAAGTTTCATTTTCCTTTAATAAACTGTATTTTTCTACAGTTTCTTAAAAGTCCATATGAGTGCAACTTGTTGTTGCAAGTTGGCTGACAGAATTACCAACAAATAATAGATTTCAAATTTTCACAACATTTGAAAAGATACCACTTTTTCAAATTTTCACTTTGAAAAAGTATCAAAATTTACAGGTCATCAAAAAGGAGAGTACAGGAGAAAAAAGTTACACATGCTGGAGCCAGATGACCTGGTCCATCCTCGATCTGCTCCATGAGTCCTTGGACAAATTACTTAATGGAATACTGTTGTTTGTTGAACTATAAAGCACGGTTGATAGTAACACTATGGTTTGTTATGTAAAGCATTCAGAACAGTGACTGACAATTCTCATTACGTATTAATTATTAATTATTAACTACAATTATTATCCAGGTTTTGGATTAAAGAGACTTCAGTAAATCAAGGAGCCTTTAAGTGGATGCACCAAGTTGGGTTTTTGTAGTGAGCATGCTGCAAAGATAATATAAAATTACCCTTACTTGGTAAGTAGGACTCTTGTTACTATTCTCTATTCATATCCAATTACACATTTCCTAAAGTTTTGCTTGATGTCTCCAGTTTTTTTTTTTAATCTTCTGCTCAGCTTCCACCAGCTCTCTACCATTTCCAGCAACCTGAGACTCTTGTTCATTCCCCTTCATGTCAGACAGTGAATTTGGGGTTTGACGCCTGCAACCCCACTGCATAACTCACCCAAATGGCATTTACCAGTCTACAGTACCACAAAGAGACCTATCAAATCATATTCTTGAGAGTAGAAATACCTGAAAATACATAATATCTTTATTGAAATATCTTCATAGAGGTAATCAGATTCAAATGTTTTCTCTTAGCTCTCATTCACATCAGAAAGTATAAGCACAACCGAATCAAAATGTTACAAATAACCATTTTGCCAGATTCTTTAAAAGTTTCCTATAAAGTTGGAATGGTAAGAAGTAATGTGTAAGTAATTTTATTGCCCCTCTGGTTTCTGCCCGTGGGCAAAATGGATATTTCATGTTAATCATAATTGTCTACCTGACTTAAGTAAAAATAATATTTCATTGTAACTCTGCCTCTTCTATTACATTGTTTCCTAAAGTATTTCTCCCTGGAATAGCTATGAATTTATAAATGACCTTTATTTTCATCAATCTTCTGTGACTTTAATTTACAGGCAAAGTGTAAAAAGCATTTAACAATGAAAGGGCAAGGTAATCACTTAATTTTCATTACAGAAAAAGAAATTCTACATTTAGGTTAAATTAGCAATTAATATGTAAGCCATATGAATCCTGGATAAGGAAGAAATAAGGAACATCCACCCATTAGCCCCTCCTCTAGCTTTCATTGAGATATTTAGATAAAACCATCAAGAATCATCAGACAGGTTAATTTTTAAAGGGCTGATAGCAAGATTAAATGAGTTTTATATTATGGTTTTATTTAATACTGGGAAATCAATGGAAAGATAAGCATTTTATGTTACTTATTTTGTGTATCTTTATTAATACATATTTGTATGTCTTATTCAACTATAATCTTTTGGCAAATAAAATCCTCTACTTTTAATTAATTAGGCATAAACTCATTAAAAATCCTAAAGAAACTTTCAACAATATGTACAATAAAACAGGATAAAACTAAGAAAATGGAGAAATTATCCTGACCTTAGATAAAGTAAAAAAAAAAAAAATTAAAAGAAGGAATATGCAAAACACAAGTCTCAGATGGCTTTACTAAATCCAAGAATAAAATTTATAGTTTCAACTTAATGTTTCAGGCAATTTTCCCAACTAAGCTTTATTTTATAATGGACACATAATAATTATACATATTTGTGGAGTAGAATGTGATATATCCATACATGTATAAGTTATGTAATGATCAAATCAGGGTAATTAGCATGTCCATCACCTTAAACATTTATCATTTCTTTGTAATGAGAACATTAAAAAACCTCTCTTCTTGGTACTTTGAAATATACACTGTATTTAACAATACATTATTGTTAACTCTAATCATCCTACTATGCAATGGAACACCAGAATTTATTCTTATCTAAATATAGCTTGGGGCTTGTTGACCAATCTCTCATCCCTCCTTTACACCCTCCAAATCCTAATGATAACCACTATTCCACTCTCTACTTCTGGAAAGACAATGTTTTAGATTCCCATTTAATAAACTCATGTGGCATTTGTCTTTCTGTGCTTGCCTTATTTAATTTAACATAATGCCATTCAGATTCCTCCATGTTGCTGCAAATGACAAGATTTCATTCTTTGTTATGGTGAATAGTATTCCATTGTTTTGTGTGTGTGTGTGTGTGTGTGTGTGTGTGTGTGTGTATATCACATTTTCTTTATCAATTCATCCACTGATAGACATTTATGTTTGTTCATTCCATATCTTGGTTATTGTCAATAGTGCTGCAATAAACATGAGAGTGCAGATATCTTTTTGACATACGGATTTTATTTCTTTTGGATATAATACCCAGTAGCGGGATTGCTAGACCTTATGATAATACTATTTTTAATATTTTGAGAAACCTTTACACCATACTGTTTTCCATTATCGCTGTATTAATTTACAACTCCAATTCCACCAGTAGTGTGTAGGGTTTCCTTGTCTTCACCTTCTCCCCAACATTTGTTACATTTGGATTTTGTAATAGTATCCATTCTAACAGAAGTAAGGGGTATCTCATTTTAATTTTGATTTGAATTTTTCTGGTGATTAATAATGTTGAGCATTTTTTCATATGTCTCCTGTTCATTTGTATGTCTTCATTTGAGAAATCTCTATTCAGCTCTTTTGATCATTTCTTAATAAGGTTATTTTTGTTGTTCTTGAATTATTTAAATTCCTTATATATTTTGGATATTAATCCCTTATCAAACATATAGTTTGCATATATATTCTCTCATTTTGTAGGTTATCTCTTTGCTCTGTTGATTATTTCCTTTTCTGTGCAGAGGCTTTTTAGTTTGATGTAATCCCATTTGTTTGTATTTGCTGCCTATGTCTTTGTGTATATTTTGTTGCTTTTCAGGATACTTTTGACTTCTTATCCAAAAAATCCCTGCCTAGGCCAATGTCATGGAGCTTTCCCCCTACTTTCTCCTAGTACTTTTGTAGTTTCAGTTCTTATATTTAAGTCTTTAATCCATTCAGAGTTGATTTTTGTATATGGTGAGAGTTAAGAATCTAGTTTGATTCTTCTGCATGTCGATATCCAGTTTCCTCATCACCATTTATCGAGGGGTCTCTCCTTTCTCCTTTACACATACTTGGCATTTTTTGCCCAAAATAAGTGGACTGTAGATGTGTGGGTTAATTTATAAACTTTCTATTCTGTTCCATTGGTCTATGTTTCTGTTTTTATGCCAGTACCTGCTGTTTTGGTTACTATAGCATTGTAGTACGTTTCACAATAAGGTAGTGTGCTACCACCAGCTTTGTTGTTTTTGCTCAGAATTGCTTTGGCTATTTGGGGTCTTTTTTGGTCCATACGAATTATATGATTGTTTTTTTCTCTGTTTCTATGAAGAATGCCATTGGTATTTTGATGGAGATTGCATTGAATCTGAAAATATTCTATATGTTTTCTACATCTGAAAAAGAAATAAAGAAAGCAATCCCTTTCACAATAGCTATGAAATAAATAAAATACCTAGGAAGAAATTTAACCAAGAAAGTAAAAGGAGCTCTACAATGAACAATATAAAACACCGATGAAAGATATATAATGAAATTCTCATCAATGAAAGACTGCACATACAAAGGTGGTCCCATAAGCTTATAATGGAGCCGTCCTATGCAGGTATATAATTTTTAATCTTTTATATCATATTTTTCCTGTACCTTTTCTATGTTTAGATACACAAATACTATTGTGTTACAACTGTCTACAGTATTAAGTACAGTAACATGTTCTATGGTTGTGTAGCCTATTAACAAATATAGTCTACATATTTAGAAGACTATATCAACTAAGTTTATGTAAGTATTCTTCATGATGTTTTCACAATGAAGAAATCACCTAACAATGCACTTCTTAACTTATCCCCATCATTAAGGGACATATAACTGTATATGATCATGTTGTCTCCAAACAGGGACAATCTAACTTTCTCATTTCTAATTTGTATACCTTTTATTTCTTTTTCTTGCCTGACTGCTCTGGCTAGAACTTCCAGTACTATGATGAATGAAAGTAATACAAGTGGACATTCTTGTCTTGTTCCTGATCTTAGAGAGAAAGTTTTCAGCTTTTCCCTGTTGGCTATGATGTTAGCTGTGGGTCTATTTTATACAGAATTTATTACATTGAGGTGCATTCCTTCTATTACTAACTTGTTGAAAGCGTCTATCATAAAGGGATGTGGAATTTTATCAAATGTTTTTTTATTCATCTATTCGGATGATCATATAATTTATGTTCTTCATTCTCGTCATGTGCTGTATCACATTTATTGATTTGCGTATATTGAACCATACGTATCCCTGGGATGAATCCCATTTGATCATGATGAATAATCTTTTTGACGTGCTTTTGGATTTGGTTTGCTAGTATTTTGGTGGGGATTTTTTGCATCTATGTTCATCATGAATACTGGTCTGCGGTTCTGTTTTGTATCCTTGTCTCATTTTGAAACCAGGGCAAAGCTGGTCTAATAGAATCAATTTAGAAGAATTCCCTTTGTTTCAGTTTTTTGTTGTTGTTGTTAAAACAATTTGAGAATAATTGATACCAGTTCTTCTTTAAAAGTTTGGTAGCATTCAGCAGTGAAGCCTTCTGGTCCTAGATTTTTCTTTGATGGGAGACTTTTTATTTCTTATTAATTTTCATTCATTTTTGGTCTTATAAGATTATCTATTTATTCATGATTCAATCTTGGTCAGCTCTATGTGTCCAGGAACTTATGCATTTCTTCTAGCTTTTCCAATATGTGGGGGTATAATTGTTCACAATAGTCTCTAGTGATTCTTTGTATTTCTAAGGTGTCAGTTTTAATGATTTATTTTTTATCTCTGATTTTATTTATCGGAGTCTTCTCATTTTCTTAGGCTTGCTAAAGGTTAGTCAATTTTGTTTATCTTTTCAAAAAACCGGGTTTTCATTTAATTGATTTTTTTGTATAGATTTAAAAAATCTCTATTTCACTTATCTCTGCTCTTATCTTTATTATTTCTTTCTGTTTATTTGGGTTTGGTACATTCTTGTTTTTCTAGTTCCTTGAGCTGCAACATTAGGTTGTTTATTTTATTTTATTTTTTTCTGATATAGGCATTACAACAAAAGTAGTTTCAAGAGGGAAGTTTATAACACCTAAGTGAATGCTATAATTTTGGGAGTACTATAGATTTGGGAAGGATGTGTTTCCATTTTCATTTATCTCAGTAAATATTTTAATTTCTTCTTTAATTTCTTCATTTACCTATTGGTTGGTCAGAAGCATGTTTTTAAATTTCCATGTATTGGTATAGTTTCCTAAGTTCTTATTGATTTCTAGTTTTATTGCATTGTGGTTAGAAAAGATACCTGATATAATTTTGTTTTTTTTTTTAATTGTTGAGACTTACTTTATGGTTTTCCATATGACCTAACCCGGAGACTATTTCATGTGCTGTTGAGTAGAGTGCGTATTCTGAAGCTGTTGAGTAGAATGTTCTGTATAGGTCTGTTAGGTTCACTTGGTCTAGGGTACAATTTAACTCCACTGTGTCTCTGCTGATTTCCTATTTGGATGATCTGTCCATTGCTGAAAGTGGGGTATTAAAGTCCCCTACTATTATTGCATTTGACTATTTCTCTCTCTTTAAGTCTAATAATATTTGTTATATATACTTAGGTGCTTTTATGTTGGGTACATATATATTTACAACTGTTAACATCCTTTTAGTAAATTGACCCCTTTATCTTTGTAGAATGACCTTGTCTCTTTTTACAGTTTTATATTTAGAGTATATTTTATCTAATATAAGCATAGCTAATCCAGCTCTTTTTCAGTTTCCATTTCCATGTGTATCTTCTTCTATGATTTCACTTTTAGTTTATGTGTGTCCTTACAGGTGAGGTGAGTTTCTTGTATATATTTGGATCTTGTTTTTTCAATCCATTCACTAACTACATCTTTTAATTGGGAAATTTAATACATTTATATTTAAGGTAATTACTGCTAAGTAAGGCCTTACTACTGCTATTTTGTTATTTGTTTTCTTATGTGTTTGTGTATTGCACACGTTTATATGCAGTTCTTTGTTCCTTTCTGTCCTCCTTTGTGGTTAGGTGATTTTCTCCAGCGATGTGTTTGCTTTTTATTTTTAGTGTATCTGTTATAGGTTTTTGCTTTGTGGTTATCATAAGTCTTACCAAAACATCTTGGATTTATAACAAGTTATTTTACACTGATAACAACTTAACTTTGATCATAAAGATAGGAAATGAAACAAACAAACAAAAAAAGTCTACACTATAATTCTATTCCCCCCACATTTGGAATTTTTAATGTTCAACTTTACATCTTTTCAAATTGCCTATATTTTCACCATTAATATAGTCATTTTTAACAATTTTGTCCCTTATCTTCATTCTAAAGATATGTCTAGTTTACACACAATGTCTATAGTATAGGAGTATTATGAATTTGTTCATATACTTACTCTTACCAGTGAGTTTTATAGCTTCAAACGTTTTTTTTTTTTTTTTTGTTACAAGTTAGAACCTCTTTCTTTCAGTATAAAGAACTCTTTTTAGAATTTCTTATAAGACAGATCTGGTGGTGATATACTCTCTGAGCTTTTGTCTGGGAAAGTATTTCTCTTGCTTCTGAAGGATAACTTTGCTGGCTCCAGCATTTTCTGTTGACAGTTTGTTTTGTTTTGTTTTTCCTTGAGCACTTTGACTATATCATCACACTCCCTCCTGGCCTGTAAGATTTCTGCTGATAAGTCAGCTGCCAGGCAATTTGGAACTTCCGTATTAAATATTTGCTTCTTTTCTCTTGTGGCTTTCAGAATCCTATCTTTGTCTTCGACCTTTGAGAGATCAATTATGATATGTCTTGGGGAACACTCATTTGAGTTTAATCTAAGCGGCTTTTGGCCTTCCTGTGTCTGGATTTTGTATATTTCTCTGGGTTTGAGAAGTTGTCTGTTACAATTTTTTGAATATTCTTTCTACCCCTTTGACATTCTCAAATCCCACTTAAACCCAGAAAACATGAAAAGTTGCTATTTTGATGCTACCCAATAGTTCCTGTAGGCTTTCTTCATTCCTTTATATTATTTTTTCCCCTCCATGTATTTCAAATAGTCTGTCTTTGGGCTCACTATTTTTTTCTTCTAATTGATGTAGTCTGCTGTTGATGCTCTCTATTATATTTTTTATTTAGTTCATTGTGTTTTTCACCTACAGGATTTCTGTTGGATTTTTAAAAAAATTATTTTAAACTCTTTGTTCAGGTTTTTCTGACAAATTATTCAATTGTTTCTCTACATATTCTTAAGGTTCATTGAGTTTCCTTGAACAGCTATTTTAAATTATCCGTTTCTAAGAAATTACATCTTCATTACTTTAGGGTCAGTATCCGGTACCTTATTAGGTCTGTGGGGTGAGGTCATGGTTCCCCAAATGTTCTTAATGCTTATGAGTATATAATGATGTCTGCACATTCAAGGATTTGGTATTTATTTCACTCTTCAGAACACAGCTTTGTTTATGCCAGTCCTTCTAGAGATTCTAAACAGGCTAATTACTATGTTCTCAGAGCCTGTGATCACTACCACAGTTTCACCTCTAAATAGTGCCCAAAATCCAGGTTTGCCAAGAGTCTGCAGTTAGTATGTTGCCACTTTTTCAGCAGTAGGAGGTGTCCTAAGCCTAGGTTTATCCCATATCCTCGGTTGGTGTGTTGTTCCCTAGAGGAGGGCCAAAGATGGCAATATATTCTGCTGGGTCTGTGAGTTTCTACCTGTTGCTAGGAAAGGTCCAGATGCCCTGTCCATGATAACCCACTTGGGTCAGGAACCGTGGGGCTGTGACCCATGCTGGACCTCCCTGGTGAAGGGCCAGCACTGGGCTCCAAGGTAACATCTTGTGTCCACTGCTGTCTCCTTCACTCAAGCAAATGATGTCTCTTTTCATGCTTGCTTCACAGTCACAGAGACCAGCCCAGCAGTGTGGTACATCCAAGGACCACATGCAGTAGACCTACCTGCTGCTGAGGTAGGTCTCAGGACCACCACTCATTGACAACACACCTAATCACCCAAGAACTCTGATGGAGATGTGCGGGGATATTAATGTTGTTGTAATGCCTACTAACACAATATACATTCTACAGTTCATGGATCAAGGAATAATTTCAATTTTCAAGTCCTATTAATTAAGAGATACATTTTATTAGGATATAGCTGTCACAGATAGTGATTTCTCTGATGAATCTGAGCAAAGTAAATTGAAAACCTTCTGGAAAGGATTAACCATTCTAGATGCCATCAAGAACATTTATGATTTGTGGGAAAGGTCAAAATATCAACATCAACAGGAGTTTCAAAGAGTTGATTCTAACCATCATGGATGGCCTTGAGGGTTTCATGACTTCAGTGGAGGATGTAACTGTAGATGTAATGGAAATAGCAAGAGAATTATAATTAGAAGTGAAGCTTGAAGATGTGACTGAATTGTCACAATTTTATGATAAAACTTAAATGGATGAGGAATTGCTTTTTATAAATTAGCAAAGAAAGTCACTTCTTGAGTTGAAATCTATTCCTGATGAAGATTCTGTGAACATTGTTGAAATGACAACAAAGGATTCATAATATTACATAAATTTAGTTGATAAAGACATAGTAGGTTGGAGGGAACTTCCTCCAATTTCAAAAGAAGTTTTACTGTGAGTAAAATGCTATCAAACAGCATCACATGCTACAGAGAAACATTTCATAAGAGGAAGAGGCAAGCGATGTGGCAAACATTATTGTGTTGTCTTTTACAAAATTACCACAACCACTCTAACCTTCAGCAACCACTACCGTTTTCAGTCAGCAGCCATCAAGATCAAGTCAAGACCCTAACCAGCAAAAAGACTGACTCACTGAAGGTTCAGGAAATCATTGGCATTTTTATCAATAATTTATTTTATAATTAACATATGTACATTTTTTAGAAATAATACTTTATACTTAAATAGACTATAGTGTAGCATAAACCTAACTTTTATATGCACTGGGAAACCAGATAATTTGTGTGACTTTAGTACAATATTCATTTTATTGTGGTGGTCTGTAACCAAGCCCATAACATCTCTGAGGTATGCCTATACTTGCAGACTAAAGAAAGAGATGAAAGCTATTGTATTACAGCTATAGATTTTTACAAAAAATAGCAAATTGATGAGAATAAACATTCAACACTCAGAGCAGTCCTCCAATAGTTTTACAGGCAGAAAATCTATCTCTAGTATCTGCAGGAGCATGAATTTTAAACTCTTTTTTACAGCAAGACAAGCATTATAGCTCATTCATAATGTGGCCTTGAGTTTAAAATGTTCAGGCAGTTGTTTTTTATTTATAATATGAAGAGAATAAAACACGCAAGGTATGAAAATCTAGGCTTGCACAATCAAAATCTCCAAGTTTATACCTATGATAAACTTGTCCTAAAATCTTTTTTTTTCCTACCTAGATGCTATGGTCAATCTCAGGTTATATTACAAGATATCAACATCCACAGTTTTGCAGCAGTGGATGCTGCAAACTCAAAGGAGTTGACTGAGCTTAAAACAGATTATGTAGGGCTTTCTAAGTAACTGCAAGGTCTTGGATTTCATGGGGTAAAATGGAGACCTCCACAGGATTTACGTAGAGGTAGGAAAAACTCCAGTTTAACAGATCACTTTGACTGCTGTGTTGTGAATATATGTCAAGGTACAAGGAGGAAAGCAAAGAGATGGTTTAGGTCACTGCAATAATCTTGGCAAGAGATGACAGAGGCTCAGACAAGAGTGTCAGCCAGGGAAGAATAGTAGGATTCTGGATATGTACTCTAGGTAGAGCTAGCTGGATATACTGAGTGATGGATATGGAGCATGAGGGAAACAGGTATCAAAGATGTTTTGGTCTAAACAAATGAAAGAAACATAAGTAAAGGAAATTAGAGAATGGATAGATGATCAGTAATTCAGTTTTGGAGATAGATATAGGAATGTTAATTTTTGTATATGAACATTTATTCTTAAAGACCTAAAATTCAATGCAAATACCACATGACTTTCTTCTTTATTTCTGCATCATTCTTTTATTGTACACATCTTCAAAAATTCAAAGAAACAATTATATTAACATAACATGGTCTTCTCACAGTCTTTAAAATGCACAAACAAGTATTACAACTCTACCATGAAGTTTACTCATATCTGTGGATCTTTTTCCTTAAGTCTATAAGACTTTAAATGTAAGCAAATACACTAGTTATGTCATTGTTTCAGGTAATAAGCAACATTCTTTGATTACAATAACTAAATCATTTTTTCTATGTTTATTTTTCCATTTATAAAACAATAATAATGAACTATATTCTAATGGTAATTATTTAATAGGACTTGAAAATTCAGGATCCTTTAAGAATAAACCCAAAGTTTTTAAATATAATTAGAGGGTTTCATATGATAGTTGAGTTGTTAACGCATTACATATTGTATTAGTCTCTTCTCACATTGCTATGAAGAAATACCCAAGACTGGGTAATTTATAAAGGAAACAGGGTCAACTGACTTATAGTTCCAGCTATGGCTGGACCAGGAGTACTGCAAGTGGCTTCCACTGCAGGCACCAGGCAATTCAATGGCACCCAAAACCTCAGAGACACCAGGGATTGCAGAGCCCCAAAGAGGGTGTTACAGCATGTCACACTCCAGACATGGGGAGCCCCGAGGTCTCGGCCCCAGAGGGCTGAAGCTCTTCTCTCCTTGCTGCCACAGAATGATGAGTGGGGTGGCAGGAAATGTGTGTTTCGGCCCGTTTCTGTTACACTCTTTCAGTCCTGCTGCCTGACTCTGGCCCACGGCTCCTGGGCTGGCCTGGCCCTGACAACACTAATTCCTGTCACATGGGGTGGCTGCCAGGCACCAGCAGAGGGTGGGAAGACTATAGTGTTATAGCAACTCTGGCTTGGGAAACCCCAAGATATGGGCCCCCAGAAGGGTCACCACTCTTCACTCCTGCAATCTGGGAGTGTGTCACTGCTTGCAGCTCAGCCACCCAGTAAGGAATGTGTTAACAGCTCCTTTTGCTCACAATGTTTGGTGGGTCCCAAATTTTTTGTGCCACATCCAGGAAGAATGAGGTTACATGGACAACTGGAGGGTGAGCATGGCAGAGAGGAACTTTATTGAGCGACACAGCTCTCAAGAGATCCGAAGTGTGTACCTCCCTTCCACAGGCAGTTGTACCTGATTCTGACTGAGTCTGGGGTTTTTATGAGCTCAAAATGGAGAAAATGCATGCTGATTGGTCCATGGACAGCCATGGGAAGGCCTGGAAAAAGTACCATCCAACCAGCCAAAAGGCATCAATGAAGTTCTCACTCCTGGTTGCAGACTTCACCCAGAACTTGCAGCCCAGCTTCCAGGCTTCCAGTCATCCCTGACTTGAAGATGGGGTTTCACCAAGGACCTGTCCCCTCCCACCTAGAAACCTGTCTGCCTCTTGCTGAGATCAACATGTAGTCTGCTGGGCCCCGGTTGTCCACGTGAAGGGGAACAGCCTTCAGCCCCCTGGCCTGTCGCTCATGCTAATCAGCACCCAAAGTCCAGAGGGCAGTGAGGGTATGACATGTCAGAACTGTCCCCAGCATGCACACTGGCTGGGCTGCCACAGTGCCTGGGCTTGGTCACAATGTTGTTCTGCATGGAGTGGGCACTGGGAGCAGAGAGAGGACAGGGAATGGCAACAGGCACTTCTTAGCCTGCGAAAGCAGGGAGCTTCCCGCCCCCCACCCCCACCTCTGAGAGCACCAGGATGTCTGGTCTGGGTCCAGAACCAGGCAGAAGCAGCTGCGCCCAGGAGCGCAGGCTTCCACCCCAACAATGGGGCTCCCTCTGGAATCACCTGTTCCTGGCTCCCTGTGGCTCTGCAGAGAGTACAAGCCCCAGCCATGTCTCTCCCACTACAGCTGGCGACCTTGCAGTGGCCCCTCCAGGCAGGCTGCTGCTGCCATCAACAGCAGTTTTCTCATCAGAAACAATGAAACAAGACTGATACCAGTAGTGAAAGAAATAAAATTGTCAGCCTATAATTCTATTAAAAGTGAAATAGCACTAAAAATATATGTGAAATAAAGTCATTTTAGACACAAAAGCAGAAAATATTAATCAACAACAGATCTTTACTATAAGAAACATAAGGTCATAAAGGATGACCATGGAAAAGAAAAATGATACCAGAGGGAAATACAGATATACATAAGGGGCTGAAGAACACAGAAATAATGATAACCTTATAGAAAAATATATAGGATTTTTATTGCTTAAATTACTTTAAATGATTGCTGTTTAAACAAAAGCACTAACAATTTAGAATATCAGTAAGGTATAAAAGACTTAAACAAAACTTTCAATTATGTTGACCTTATTGATATCTTTAGAACACTCTATTCAAAAACAGCATATACACATTCTCTCCAGTGTACCTAGAACATTTACACAAACTAGACCATCTTTTTATCATTAAATAAGTCTTTTTTTTTTAATTATACTTTAAGTTTTAGGGTACATGTGCACATTGTGCAGGTTAGTTACATATGTATACATGTGCCATGCTGGTGCACTGCACCCACTAACTCGTCATCTAGCATTAGGTATATTTGAAATCATTCAAGTCATGCATCGTTATGTTCTATTACCATAATGGAATAAAATTGGGTATCAGTAATTAAAAAAATCTTGATTATTCCCAAATACTTGAAAAGTATATAATACATTTCTAAATAACATATGAGTAAAAACATAATCAAAAGAGAAATAAAAATGTATTCTAAACTGAAGGAAAATCAAAACTCAAAAAATCAGAATTTGTGGCATATCACCAAAACAATCCATAAGGATAAGGGATGGCAATACATGCCTATAATAAAACAGAAAGTTCTCAAATCAATGACCTCAGGTTACAAATTAAGAAGTTGAAAAAAAAGAACAAATTAAATATTATCACTTTAAAAATTCGTAGTTACAATAAATGAAATAAATAATAAGTTACAATAAATGAATAGATAATAATAGAGTAAAATTAACACAACAGTAGTTCTTAGAGAAGATCAATAAAATTTATAAGCCTTCTGTGAGACTTGTAATGAAAGAAAAGGAAAGATAAAAACTACCAGTAACAGAAGTGAAAGAAATGACATCCTTATAGATTCTAGAGACATTTAAAGGAAAATAAGAGAATATCATAAACAATGCTGTGTCTGTAAATTGAAAACAGAAAACGTGGACAAATTCATTGAAAAACAAACAACCATTCTCAACAGGAAGAAAATGATCATTTGTACAGTCCTATATCATTAAAAAAATGAGCTTTTAGTTAAACATTTTCTCAAAAAATAAGTCAAGATGGCTTCAATAGTGAATTCTATCAAACACTTAAAATAGAAGTAATGCTAATTCTACACCAATTCTTCCAAAAAGTTGAAGTAGGGCAAGAAACACCCATCTCATTCAAACAGGCTGGCATTACTCTGGTATCACAAACAGAAAAAGAAAATTCACACAAATATCCCTTATGAACATAAATTCAACATTTCTAAACAAAATTTTAGTTAATAGGAACCAACAGTTGTGAATCCATCTGGTCCTGGAGTCTTTTTGGTTGGTAAGCTATTGATTATTGCCACAATTTCAGAGCCTGTTATTGGTCTATTCAGAGATTCAACTTCTTCCTGGTTTAGTCTTGGGAGGGTGTATGTGTCGAGGAATTTATCCATTTCTTCTAGATTTTCTAGTTTATTTGCGTAGAGGTGTTTGTAGTATTCTGTGATGGTAGTTTGTATTTCTGTGGGATTGGTGGTGATATCCCCTTTATCATTTTTTATTGTGTCTATTTGATTCTTCTCTCTTTTCTTTTTTATTAGTCTTGCTAGCGGTCTATCAATTTTGTTGATCCTTTCAAAAAACCAGCTCCTGGATTCATTAATTTTTTGAAGGGTTTTTTGTGTCTCTATTTCCTTCAGTTCTGCTCTGATTTTAGTTATTTTTTGCCTTCTGCTAGCTTTTGAATGTGTTTGCTCTTGCTTTTCGAGTTCTTTTAATTGTGATGTTAAGGTGTCAATTTTGGATCTTTCCTGCTTTCTCTTGTGGGCATTTAGTGCTATAAATTTCCCTCTACACACTGTTTTGAATGTGTCCCAGAGATTCTGGTATGTTGTGTCTTTGTTCCCGTTGGTTTCAAAGAATATCTTTATTTCTGCCTTCATTTCGTTATGTACCCAGTAGTCATTCAGGAGCAGGTTGTTCAGTTTCCATGCAGTTGAGCAGTTTTGAGTGAGTTTCTTAATCCTGAGTTCTAGTTTGATTGCACTGTGGTGTGAGAGACAGTTTGTTATAATTTCTGTTCTTTTACATTTGCTGAGGAGAGCTTTACTTGCAACTATGTGGTCAATTTTGGAATAGGTGTGGTGTGATGCTGAAAAAAAATGTATATTCTGTTGATTTGGGGTGGAGAGTTCTGTAGATGTCTATTAGGTCTGCTTGGTGCAGAGCTGAGTTCAATTCCAGGGGATCCTTGTTAACTTTCTGTCTCGCTGATCGGTCTAATGTGGATAGTGGGGTGTTAAAGTCTCCCATTATTATTGTGTGGGAGTCTAAGTCTCTTTGTAGGTCACTCAGGACTTCTGTTATGAATCTGGGTGCTCCTGTATTGGGTGCATACATATTTAGGATAGTTAGCTATTCTTGGTGAATTGATCCCTTTACCAGGTACAAGGAGGAACTGGTACCTTTCCTTCTGAAACTATTCCATTCAATAGAAAAAGAGGGAATCCTCCCTAACTCATTTTATGAGGCCAGCATCATCCTGATACCAAAGCCGGGCAGAGACATTTTAGACCAATATCCTTGATGAACATTGATGCAAAAATCCTCAATAAAATACTGGCAAACGGAATCCAGCAGCACATCAAAAAGCTTATCCACCATGGTCAAGTGGGCTTCATCCCTGGGATGCAAGGCTGGTTCAGTATACACAAATCAATAAATGTAATCCAGCATATAAACAGAACCAAAGACAAAAACCACATGATTATCTCAATAGATGCAGAAAAGGCCTTTGACAAAATTCAACAACACTTCATGCTAAAAACTCTCAATAAATTAGGTATTGATGGGATATATCTCAAAATAATAAGAGCCATCTAAGACAAACCCACAGCCAATATCATACTGAATGGGCAAAAACTGGAAACACTCCCTTTGAAAACTGGCACAAGACAGGGATGCCCTCTCTCACCACTCCTATTCAACATAGTGTTGGAAGTTCTGGCCAGGGCAATTAGGCAGGAGAAGGAAATAAAGGGTATTCAATTAGGAAAAGAGGAAGTCAAATTGTCCCTGTTTGCAGATGACATGATTGTATATCTAGAAAACCCCATTGTCTCAGCCCAAAATCTCCTTAAGCTGATAAGCAACTTCAGCAAAGTCTCAGGATACAAAATCAATGTATGAAAATCACAAGCATTCTTATACACCAATAACAGACAAACAGAGAGCCAAATCATGAGTGAACTCCCATTCACAATTACTTCAAAGAGAATAAAATATCTAGGAATCCAACTTACAAGGGACGTGAAGGACCTCTTCAAGGAGAACTACAAACCACTGCTCAGTGAAATAAAAGAGGATACAAACAAACGAAAGAACATTCCATGCTCATGGGTAGGAAGAATCAATATCGTGAAAATGGCCATACTGCCCAAAGAAATTTATAGATTCAATGCCATCCCCATCAAGCTACCAATGACTTTCTTCACAGAATTGGAAAAAAATACTTTAAACTTCATATGGAACCAAAAAAGAGCCCGCATCGCCAAGTCAATCCTAAGCTAAAAGAACAAAGCTGGAGGCATCATGCTACCTGACTTCAAACTATACTACAAGGCTACAATAACCAAAACAGCATGGTACTGGTACCAAAACAGAGATATAAATCAAGGGAACAGAACAGAGCTCTCAGAAATAATGCCGCATATCTACAACTATCTGGTCTTTGACAAACCTGAGAAAAACGAACAATGGGGAAAGGATTCCCTATTTAATGAATGGTGCTGGGAAAACTTGTTAGCCATATGTAGAAAGCTGAAACTGGATCCCTTCCTTACACCTTATACAAAAATTAATTCAAGATGGATTAAAGACTTAAACGTTAGACCTAAAACCATAAAAACCCTAGAAGAAAACGTAGGCATTACCATTCAGGACATAGGCATGGGCAAGGACTTCATGTCTAAAACACCAAAAGCAATGGCAACAAAAGGCAAAATGGACAAATGGGATCTAATTAAACTAAAGAGCTTCTGCACAGCAAAAGAAACTACCATCAGAGTGAACAGGCAACCTACAAAATGGGAGAAAATTTTCGCAACCTACTCATCTGACAAAGGGCTAATATCCAGAATCTACAATGAGCTCAAACAAATTTAGAAGAAAAAAACAAAGAACCCCATCAAAAAGTGGGCGAAGGACATGAACAGACACTTCTCAAAAGAAGACATTTATGCAGCCAAAAAAACACATGAAAAAATGCTCACCATCACTGGCCATCAGGAGAAATGCAAATCAAAACCACAATGAAATACCATCTCACACCAGTTAGAATGGCGATCATTAAAAAGTCAGGAAACAACAGGTGCTGGAGAGGATGTGGAGAAATAGGAACACTTTTACACTGTTGGTGGGACTGTAAACTAGTTCAACCATCGTGGAAGTCAGTGTGGCGATTCCTCAGGGATCTAGAACTAGAAATACCATTTGACCCAGCCATCCCATTACTGGGTATATACCCAAAGGACTATAAATCATGTTGTTATAAAGACACATGCACACGTATGTTCATTGCGGCACTATTCACAATAGCAAAGACTTGGAACCAACCCAAATGTCCAACAATGATAGACTGGATTAAGAAAACGTGGCATATATACACCATGGAATACTATGCACCTATAAAAATGATGAGTTCATGTCCTTTGTAGGGACATGGATGAAATTAGAAATCATCAGTCTCAGCAAACTATCGCAAGGACAAAAAACCAAACACCGCATGTTCTCACTCATAGGTGGGAATTGAACAATGAGAACACATGGACACAGGAAGGGGTACATCACACTTTGGGGACTGTTGTGAGGTGGGAGGACGAGGGGAGGGATAGCATTAGGAGATATACCTAATGCTAAATGACGAGTTAATGGGTGCAGCACACCAGCATGGCACATGTATACATATGTAACTAACCTGCACATTGTGCACATGTACCCTAAAACTTAAAGTATAATAATAAAAAAAAAAAAGAAGCCAACAGTTGTATAAAAAGGTTGAACAAGGGACGGTTGTCCTAGAAATGCAAAGTTGTTTACAATTTGAAAAATAGGCAATGTAACTCACCATATTAACAATCTAAACAAGAGAAACCATATGAACATTCTGATCATCTCAAGATGCTGATGAAACATTTGAAAATATCCAATATCCATTCCTAATTTTTAAAAAAAGTACTTTCCAATCTAGAAAAAATGAAAATTCCTTATTTTTTTCAAGAGCATCTTCAAAAATTCTATAGCTAATATCATACTTAGTGGGACAAGAGATTATATAAAGATTTTTGGTTTTAACACTTCTAATCAACATTGCCAGGGAAATCAGGCAAGAAAAAGAAAAAAGCCATTCAGGTTAGAAAATAAGTCTTTATTCACAGATGACTCTCAACTGTGTAGAAAATCCAATGGAATCTATATAAAAGCTACCAATAGATAAGTTTGGCAAGGGTAAAGGATAAAAGATCAATATATAAAAGATCATATAGTGGCAATGAACAATTGAAAAATACAATTAAAATACCAGTTACAATAGCATCTAAAAATGTTAAGAATAGTCTTTTTAAAAGGTTTTAGAAATATTTCATATGTATATGCAAAAGAGGGAGAAGAAGAAGGAGAAGGAATTAAAGGAAGATAACAAGGAAGAAAGAAAGGAAGGGAGAGAGAAAAAGAGGGAGAGAAGGAAAGGAAAAATAAAAATAATTTCAATTTATATCACACCATATATAAAAATTAACTAAAAATAGATTCCATACTTTAATTTAAAACATAAAACTATAAAACTTCTAAAAGAAGACATAGGAGGAAACTTTCATGACTTTGGGTTAGGAAAATATTTCTTAGATATGAAATGAAAAGCCAGGTCATAAAAGGAAACTCTAATACAGTGATAAATTGATCTTCATCAAAATTAAAATTTCTGCTCAAGTGGATAAAACGACAAGGCCCAGGAAGGAAGAAAATATTTCCAAAGCATATATCTCATAAAATGATACTGCTACCTACCTAATAGAATTGTTTACATTAAAAAGAATGACTATATCAAATACTGGTGCTAATATGAAAGAACTTCCATACATTGTTGATGGAAATATAAAATGATACAACTACTTTGGAAAACAATCTCACAATTTCTAAAGAATCCAACATATATCTGTCATATGATTCAGCCATTCAAATCATAGTTAATTACCCAAGAGAAAGAAATATCTGTACCCATACAAAGACTTCTACACTAACATTTGCAGCAGTTTTATTTGTAAGAGCCAAACTTGGAAAGAAACCAAACCTGGGAACAACCTAAATTTGTTCATCACATCAATGAACAAAGAACCTGTAATATAGCCATACAATGGAATACTATTCTGCAATAAAAAGAAGTGACCTATTTACACATACAGAACATGGATAAATATTCAAATAATTATGTTGAGTGAAAGAAGTCAGACTCCTCCAGAGTCCTCTCTCCCAAAAAACCCAATACATACTGCATGATTCTATTTATACAGATTTTGAGGATACACAAATTTATGTATAGTACTGAAAAGCGAAACAGTGTCCTGGGGACTAGGTCAGGTAGAGGAGGCAAGGAGTGAGGGATTACAAAGCAATCTTTTCAACAAGAAAAACTGGGTGTTGAAGGATTTAATCATTATTTTGGTTGTAGTAATGATTTCACTGATGTGCAAATATGTAAAATCTTACCAAGCTGTGCATATTTTATATGTGTAATTTCAGCTCAATAAAGCTGTTAAATTAAAAAAAAGTAAAGTGGTAATTTAATGGCCCAGTGAACTAGCACTCATGTGTTAAAATTTAGAATTTGTTTTTAAGTATAACAGACCTTTATAATAACTCCATTAAATATATAAAGTAAGTATTTTTATTTTTCTGGATTATCTAAGGATCTAGGGAAACTGCTTATAACTTGTAACAACCAAGTTTAGAACTAGATCAATTGCTGCAATTTAATTGTATTTTTCACACTATATGCTTTGTAGATATTTTATGTGTCTTTTATAAGCTAAGGTATCCACATACCTTGAATTCACAGATAGATTTAAATTTATGAACATTTTAAAAGAAATTTGCAATGTATTAACACTTCCCTTAGACACAGATAACAATATTCAAATATGCTTCATTTTGGATCATTTTTAGAATACTGAAATTATACTACCACTGTAAAGCCTAAATGAACTAAATGAACTGCACAGAATTCATTCATTCACTCAACAAGTATTTTTGAATACCTATTCTGTGTGTTGCCTCTGTCATGGTATAGTATCTTATATTAAATTATTTGATGGTGATGTCTAACAAGTATTCTGTGGAATTGAACAGTACATTTAGGCAATTTAATCATGTCAAGTCTCATACCCAATTTTTCTTTGGTAAGTTAGATGATTTATTAAAGTGATTCTCAAACTCTAGTAGCATCAAAGTTAACTAGACAGTTTAAAAAACAGACTGCAGGATAGATACAGCAGCTCACACATGTAATCCTAGCTCCTTGGAGGATCACTTGAGGCCAGGAGTTAGAGACCAACCTGGGAAATATAGTAAGACCCTATATCTACAAAAAATTAGAAAATTAGCCGAGTATGGTGGCACACTTCTGTAGTCCTAGCTACATATGAGGCTGAGGTGAAAGGATCACTTGAGGCCAGCAGTTTGAGGCTGCGATGAGCTGTGATCATACCATTGAACTCCCGCCTAGGTGACAGATTGAGACCCTGTCTTTATACAAGACAAGAAAACAAAAGTCAGATTGCTGGGCCCCAATCATGAAGTTTCTGATTAGGATGTCTGAGTTGGGTCCAAGAAATTTGGATTTCTAAGTTTCCTGGTGAAGCTGATGCTACTAGTCCATGAACCATACTTTGAGAACTAATCATTTACTGGAAATTATTTTTAACTGATACGTGAAAAATTAAGACCATAGTTCATACTTCTAAGTATAAAGGCAAGGTGCCTCAATGGAAAATAAATATTACCTAGGAAGCACCTATAATTCATCTTAAATCTCACCTTTCATAATGTATCTAAATCACAAATGTGAAACTCTATAGTTAAACTAAGCCAGAGCTACTAAAGTTGACATTTATACTTGCAAAATTTCTTTTATGAGATTGGAATAAAATTTCTATAATCCTCAAATATTATTTCCCCAGTTAATGGAAGAGCCAAATTAAAGCGGCTTTGATGGGGGAAATGATTACTGTATGTTTGAGCACCCTTGTGGCTTGAGCCATCTATATCTCTACTCTAAGAATATTAAAATATCACAGTAGAGCAACAAGACTAGATGAAACCCTTTTGGCATAAAACATTCAGGCAACACTCAATAAATAGGGCATCTCCACTAGGATTTACACACCAGCAAATATGTTCACTGAGTTCCCATGAGGAGAATAAAATAGATGACTGGAACTCAGAAAAAGGTAATAAAGTCAACTACATAATATGAGAATCCTTTTCATAAATGAAAACACTTATATAATGAAAGAGTGGTAGCAAAATCTATTAAAGATGGTGAATTATTTGGTAACCTTCCTCTGATTTTTATGTCACTGAAATGTACCACTTTGTGGTGACAAACAGGAATACTGTCCAACAAAGTGTTCAGTGGATTCTGTACCTTTAGCAAAATGGTGCGATATAATATTGTTAGAATAACAGAGCAATTGGTGCATCAAAATTATCTTTAGCTAGTGATCTTCCCTGGAATTATCATGTAGGTGAAAAGATTTCACTGAAAAACTAAAATACACGCCAAAGTTGTGTTGGCTCTCTCTTCATCAATCCGTTCACCTATCCATCTTCTCACCCACATACCTATATAGCTACCTATCATTTTTTTTAAAAGTATCATTTATGTATAACACATTACATCCAAAATGATTTGATGTTATTTGGTTAAAGCCAATGAAGCTGCCCAGTGAATGGATTGCCTCAAATATCTCATTTGAAATTTAAGCCAAGGGAACTGTGTCACTATAAGAGCCACATATTAAATACTGAAGCCTAGAAGAACCCTCCCATTAAGAATGGACATTCTTTAAGCACATATTATGTCCCATATTCAGGCTCTGGCTGAACATATGATTCATTGAATATACTGACTTCTACCTAAACTCAGGCAACCAAGATCTAAAAATAGGAGAGGAGGAAAAACAGTGTCACAGTATATTTGAATTGCTACTGACAGTTGAGAACATAATTTTAATGTGGTTAAAATATATTATAAATTCCTGAAAACCCAGAATTACCAAGTGTTAATTTGGAGAAATCATTTTAGAGCCAGGTATTTAGGCTTAATATATGAGGTACAGAAAAATAAAAAATATTGCTTTGTTTTGATCTAAACTCCCTGAGAGAAACATGGCAAGTGATGTGGATGTGGAAATAACAAACCTTATCATCTTTTCATATTATCCCAAATGCTATTTTTAACACAATCGCATGGCCTCTGTGTTCTTAATTGAGTAATATTGTGAACATCTGTCTCTCTCTAGAGGCTTTTTTAAATGTGTAAAATATCTTGAATATTTGCTATTTATCAGAAGAGGAAAATTAACTGACAAATCAGCAGGAAGGGTGAGAGACTTGACAAAATATATTTACTAACAGGGAATTTACAAATCTCAAACTCTAACATTACAACAATTGACACACTTGGGAATGAATCTCAGGAGCTGACAAGATGGCAACATTACTGTATTATTCCCTTCTCACACTGCTATGAAGAAATACCCGAGACTGGTTAATTTATAACAGAAGGAGTTTTAACTGACTCACAGTTCCGCATGGCTGGAAGACCTCAGGTAACTTACAATCATGGCAGAAGGGGAAGCAAACACATTCTTCACAAGGCGGCAGGAGAGATAAGCGCAAAGCAAAGGGGGAAAATCCCCTTATAAAACCATCAGATCTCATGAGATCTCACTCACTATCATGAGAACAGCATGAGGGTCACTGCCCCCATGATTCACTTACGTCCTACTAGGTCCCTCTCATGACACTTGAGAATTATGGGAACTACAATTCAAGATGAGATTTGGGTGGGACACAGCCAAACCATATCAATTCCTATCCTGTGGAATTAAACAAGGTGCATAAGATGCTTCAGTAACAAAATCCAGTATCTCTTGCATAAAACATTTATTTGTATAAAGGAAAATAAATAGGAGTTAATAGGGCTGTGAGTTGTGACCTGAGTAAAAGAAGAAACAACATGTTTTAAGGAACTGCTTCTGAAATGTAAGAGTTTTGTGACATTGATCAGTTCACTAAACTTTTCTGAGCCTATATTTTTCTTATTTGAGAAACGGAACAGAATGATATCAATTATAAGGAGTATTAAATAGAATAAAACAGGTAAAATTATTTTAAAAGATTCCTCTGTACAAATAATATTCATCATCCAATTATATTATGATCTAAGTGATGGGAGGCAGAAATCTTGGTATTATAAACAATGACAAAAATATCTTACATTCAATATGCGTTATCTTTCACTAAGTATTGTTCCAAGTACTTTACATATACTAAATACATTAACATAGTAACAGTTATATTTTGCCCATTTTACAGACAAGGAATCAAAGGCATTAGTAAATGTTGGCTCCAGAGTCTGAACCCTCAACCACCCCAATTTTATTATCCTAATTTAATAAACAAACAAAGCCATACAATAAATGCATGTTGATTACAATATGTAATAATAATAAACTTTTTAGAAATTTATGTTAAAAATGGAAAAAAACTCTCACTATTGAGAAAACATGGTATTTAATATTTAGTAAGTAATTTTCAAATCTATGAATATTTTTGTCGGCGTAAATATTTAACACAAGAAATTCTTATCTGACTTTTGAAACTATTTATCAGTTGTCAACCTATTTGCGATCATTCGTTTTAGGAGTGACTAAGTTGGAGTATTAAAATGATTCTGAATTTTCTTGAAAAATATACACAAAGAAATGTAAATTCTCATTTCAAAATTAATGTTTTCATAGCTGTCTGATTTCTTTCAAAAGTCAGTTTTACCCCAAAAGAGAACTGGTTTGAGTATGAAGCACAATTAAGTTTTATAGTAACAGTATTCACATGAGGCCATACATAAGAGCCAAAAAATAACATGCTTATATTCTGCTCAGCACCTTATATACCAATGGACCAGCTCACCCCAGGCTGACTACTTTGATATCAGCATAGGCTGCTGGATGTGTGTGCTACCATTATCCAGTTTTACAGAAAAAAATATTTATTGACTTCAGAGAGATAAAGTTAATTTTTCCAAGGTCACAAAATCAAATAGCAAAGCTAGGATGAAATCCAAATGCCAAGCTCTTAATCACCTTGATGAACTTAGTTAATCCTACAGTTATGAGATGATCTTTCATAAAAATATAACAATGGCAAAGTAAATCATAGGGGGAAATATCTGTTTATGTATGTATTGGCTTGCTTTCCGCAAATGATTGCTAAAGGCAGAACAACTTTGGAAAACCCAGAGACTATTCTTTTTCTAATTAACAGAGATCAAATTTTGTGAGGCTAATTAACAGAGATCAAATTTTGTGAGGCTATTTCTACACATATAGTGAATCTCTCTGTACTCTCTTTTTTGATAGATACAAATTTACTTTTTTAACGTTAATTATATATTGAGTTAAAGAGATATGAGAAATCATATAAAACAAAAATTACTAATCTGAGATAGAAAAAGAAAGGCCCAATATTAAGAAGCTAATGAATATTCTCTTAAATAAAACATGGAGACAGAAAATAAATACAAAATACATTAACAACATTTTGAAAGTAATTGATATGAAAACAGTATCCCCAAGATGGGCTACTGTTAAATCAGAAATTATGTTTATAGGTAAATTCATGACTTCAGATATTTCATCATCAAAATAGGAAAAGAAAAAATAAGCACTGTGCTTATAATTAATTGTAAATTGACAAATTATATTGTATGCATACAAACTGGAAGGATTAAATCAAGCTAACTAATAGATCCATTACCCCAAATATGTATTATTTTTGTGGTAAGAACATTTGAAATCTATCCTCTTAGCAATTTTGAAATATAAAATACATTATTATTAACTATAGTCACCGTGCTGTGGAATAGCTTTCCAAAAACATATTTCTCCTGTCTAACTGCAACTTGGTCCTCTTTGACCAACATCTCATTTCCAACATCCCCCAGCCCTCCTACTCTTTGTTTCTGGTTTCTGAGTTTGTTTTAAATTCTGCATATAAATGAGTCTATATGGTATTTGTCTTTTTGTGCCTGGCATATTTTTAAATGTTTTGTCAATTTGTAACTGATACATAACAATTGTACATATTTATGGGGTACATGTGATATTTTGATATATGTATATAATGTGTAATGATCAATTCAAGGTAATTAGAATATCCATCACACCAAATATTTATGTCTTTGTGTTGGGAACATTCTAAAGCTTATGTTTTAGTTATTTTGAAGTATACAATAAATTATTTTTAACTATCATCTCCCTACTGTGCTATCAAACACTAGAACTTGTTTCTTCTATCTAACCATATATATGTATAAATGCCAGTCTCTCTTCATTTTCTTTTCTGCGCCCTCCCACCCCTCTCAGCCTCTGGTAACTATCACTCTACTCCCTATGTCTGTGAGATCAATATTTTTTGGCTCATGCATATGAGGAAGAACAAACCATATTAGTCTTTCCATGCCTGGCTTTTTTCACTTAATATAATGACCTCCAGTGATGGGATTTCACTCTTTTCTTTATGGCTGAATAACAATTTATTGTGCATATATACCATGTTTCTTTATCCATTCATCTATTAATGAACAATTATGAAGTCAACCAATTACATATCTTGGCTATTGTGAACAGTGCTGCAATAAATATGGGAGTGCAGATATCTCTTCAATATACCGATCTTCTTTTAGATATATACTCAGTGGTGAGATTTCTAGATCATATGGTAAATCTAGTTTTATTTTTTTTTGAGGATCCTCCACTCTGTTTTCCATAGTGGCTGTACTAATTTACATTCCAACCCACAGTGTACTACCAGTCTTTTCATTTTTCTACATCCTTGCCAGCATATGTTGTTTTTTGTCTTTTTGATAGTGGCTATCTTAACGGGGGTGAGATGATATTTCATTGTGGTTTTGATTTGCATTTCCCTTATGATTAATGATGCTGAGTAATTGTCACATACCTGTTGACCATTTGGATATCTTTTTTTTGAGAGATGTCTATTCAATCATTTCAAATTTTTAAAATCAAATTATTTGTGACTTTTTGCTATTGATGTCGTTTGAGTTCCTTAAGTATTTTGGTTGTTATTTTCTTGCTGGATGAATAATCTTCAAATATTTTTTCCTATTCTGTGTGTTGTCTCTTCATTCTGTTGATTGTTTCCTTTGTTCTGCAGAAGCTCTTTAGCTTGATGTAATCCCATTTCTATATTTTTGCTCCTGTTACCTGTGCTTTTGAGGTCTAAACCCAAAATGTGCTTTCCCAGACCAATGTCCTGAGGTGTTTTTCCAATATTTTCTTCTAGTATTTTCATAGTTTCAGGTCTTAGATTTAAATATTTAAGCCATTTTGACTCAAATATTTTATTTTTTTTTTGAGATGGAGTCTCGCTCTGTCACCCAGGCTGGAGTGCAGTGGCGTGATCTCAGCTCACTGAAACCTCTGCCTCCTCGGTTTAAGTGATTTTCCTGTTTCAGTCTCCCGAGTAGCTTGGATTACAGGTGCCCACCACTACACCTGGCTAATTTTTGTATTTTTAGTAGAGATGGGGTTTCCCAACGTTGGCCACGCTGGTCTTGAACTCCTTACCACAAGTGATCTGCCCGCCTTGGCCTCCCGAAGTGTTGAGATTACAGGCGTGAGCCACCGCGTCTGGCCTTGACTCAATTTTTGTACGTGGTGAGAGATAGGTGTCTAGTTTCTTTCTTCTGCATACAATTATCCAGTTTTCCAAGTACCAATACCCAAAGTATGTTAATGGTGTCTTTGTCAAAATGACTTGACAATCAATTTGTGGACTTATTTCTAGGTTCTCTATTCTGTTCCATTGTTCTATGTGTCTGATTTTATGCAAATGCCATGCTGTTTTAGTTACTATAAGTTTGCAGTATATTTTGAAGCCAGGTAGTGTGATGTCTACATGTTTGTTCTATTTGCTCAAGATTGCTTTGGCTATTTGGGGTCTTTGTGTCATCATACAAATTTGGGGACTTTTTTCTTTTTTTATTGCTAAGGAGAATGTCATTGATGTTTTGTTAGGAATTTCACCGAATCTGTAGATCACTTTAGGTAACATTTTCCTTACTCTTTATTTTCAATGTTTCTTAAAATACCAGTGTGATGGTTAATGGAGTGAAGGATACAAAATATTGTTTCCGGGGGTGTCACCAAAGGAGATTAATATTTGAGTCAGTGGACTAGGAGAGGAAGACCTACCCTCAATCTGGGTGGGCACCATCTAATCAGCTGCCAGCATGGCTAGGATACAAGCAGGCAGAAGAATGCAGAAAGCAGATTGGCAGAGTCTTCCAGCCTTCATCTTTCTTCTATGCTGGATGCTTCCTGTCACTAAAGGTCAGACTCTAAGTTCTACAGCTTTTGGACTCTTTGGCTTACCCCAGTAATTTTCCAGGGGCTATGAGGCCTTCAGCCACAGACTGAAGGCTGAACTGTCAGTTTCCCTACTTTTGAAGTTTTGGGACTCAGACTGGCTTCCGGCTTGCAGACAGATGACCTATTAGGGAATTTCACCTTGTGGTCATGTGAGTGAATACTCAATAAACTTCCCTTCATAGATCCATCTATCCTACTGGTTTTGTACCTCTAGAGAATCCTAATACAGATTTTGGTACCAGAAGTGGTTCTAGAGGAAGAGAATTCAAAGATAGATTTCTTTAGTTGGTTTTGGGGTTACTGGAGTTGGGTGCTAAATATGATTGGACCCCAAAATGCTAAGGACTCTACTTCTAATATTATGGAGAACACTGATAGAACTTGGCATAAACTGTTTAGAGGGATATGCAAAATTAATGCACTTGATATTCCTCATTCACTGCTCTTAAGAGTCAAGAAGTTTAGTGACTCTATACATAATACCTTCAACCATATGTGGGTAACCAAGGAATGTAATGAAGTTGGTTGGTTGCTCTTAAGTTCGCTGGACAAAGTGATGGAAGAACTCAGGGATTCTAACTCATGGTTCCAGAAGCACAAACTAAGCCTCACATCTAACATTGTCCTGAGTAAGAGTTTTATCTCCTGTAGATAAAGGGCTGAAAATGTGGGAAATCAGACACAAGCTCTTATCATGCAAGTGGCTGACCTACAACAAAAGGTGTATGCTCAGCCTCACCACCTGTCTACTGATAAAGTAAGGGCAATGATTGGAAAAGAATGGGACCCTGCATCTTGGAATGGGGAAATGTGGGAGGACCCTGATGAAGCTGGGGACGCTAAGCTTGTAAACTCTGATAAGCCTTTCTTGCCAGAGGAAACAGCCTCCCTGCCCCCAGTGGTGGCAACATTCCCTCCTCCACTCACACTGCCATCAGTCTTGCCACCTTTGACTGAGGTGATTAACCATACACTGCCTGAGGCAACAGTGATGGCCTCTCTTGAGGCAGTTGCCAGGCAAGATAATGCTGATTCTCCTCAGGAACTACCCCCAACACCCCTGTTTGCTTCTAGACCTGTAACCAAAGTCCTGGCAGGCCTCAAGAGGTGAGGTTCAGAGTGTGACCCACAAGGCAGTGCACTACTCCCCAAAAGAACTGCTTGAGTTTTCTAATTTATATAAGCAGAAATCAGGAAACAGGCATGGGAATGGATATTAAGGGTGTGGAATAATGGTGAAAGAAATGAAAAGTTGTATCAGGCTGAATTTATTGATTTGGGCCCAGTATGCAGGGATTCTGCATTTAATGTTGCAACTCATGGAGTTAAAAAAGGTTCTAATAGTTTATTTGCTTGGTTAGCTGAAATAGGAATAAAAAGGTGGCCCACTGTGAATGAGCTGAAAATGCCTGATCTCCCTTGGTTTAATGTAGAGGAAGAGATCCAAAGGCTTAGGAACATAGGGATGCTAGAGTGAATTAGTCACTTTAGATCTACTCATCCCAGCTGGAAAGGTCTAGAACACATACCTTTCACCAATACTTCGTGAAATAGATTTGTGAAGGGAGCATCTGCATCCTTGAAGAGCTCTGTGATTGCTCTTCTCTGTATGCCAGATCTTACAGTGGAACCACAGTCACTCAATTAGAAAATTTAAAAGCAATGGGAATAATTGGATCCCGAGGTGGCAGGGACCAAGTGGCAGCACTCAACTGTCAAAGGCAAGGTGGGCATAGCTACCGTAATGAACAGAAGAGGCAAAGCAGCAATCAGAATAGTCTGATTCATGTAGAGCTCTGGCATTGGCTAATTAATCATGGTATTCCTAGAAGCGAAAATGATAGGAAGCCTACTGCATTCTTACTTAATTTGTAGAAGTAGAAAACTTCCAGGTTGAGTGGACAAATGAATAATTTAAATTATAAAAATAGAGAATCATGGCCCTTCAATCAATTTAGGACTTGAACCAGTTTACAGACCCAGAACCCCTTGAATAAAGGGGAGGCCAGGTCTACTCGAGGAAGGACCCCACTACATTACCAACAAATTATGATGTTAATCTTTTTCCTATCCTTCCCCAACAAGACCTCCAACCTTTCACCAGAGTAACTGTGCAATGGGGAAAGAGGAATGTTCAGACTTTTTGGGGATTATTGTACACTGGATCTGAGTTGATGTTCATTCCAGGGGACCAAAATGTCACTGTGGTCCTCCAGTTAAACCGGGGGCTTACAGAGGTCAGGTAATTAACGGAGTTTTAGCTCAGGTCCTACTTAGTGGGTCCAGTCGGTCCCTGGGCTCATCCTGTGGTCATTTCCTCAGTGCCAGAATGTGTAATTGGCATAGACATACTTAGCAGCTGGCAGAATCCCCACATTGGCTCCCTGACTGGTAGGATGAGAGCCATTATGGTGGGAAAGGCCAAATGGAAGCTTTAGACCTACATCTACTTAGAAAAAATAGTAAATCAAAAACAACATTCCATCCCTGGAGCGATTGCAAAGATTAGTGCCACCATCAAGGACTTGAGAGACTCAGGGGTGGTGATTCCCACCACATCCCTGTTCGACTCTCCTATTTGTCCTGTTCATAAGACAGATAGATCTTGGATAATGACAGTACATTATAACAAGCTTAACCAAGTGGTGACTCCAAGTGAAGCTACTATACCAGATGTGGTTTCATTACTTGAGCAAATTAACACATCTCCTGGTACCTAGCATGCAGCCACTGATTTGGCAAATGCTTTTTTCTCCATTCCTGTCGATAACACCAACCAGAAGTAATCTGCCTTCAGCTGGCAAGGCCAGCAATATACCTTCACTGTCCTGCCTCAGGGGTATATCATCTCCCCGGCTTTGTGCCAGAATCTTGTTTGCAGAGATCTTGATCACTTTTCCCTTCTACAAGATATCACATGGGTCCGTTACATTGATTACACTATGCTGATTGGATCTAGTGAGCAAGAAGTAGCAAACACACTGGAGTTATTTATGAGACATTTGTGTGCCAAGGGATGGGAAATAAATCTGACTAAAATTCAGGGGCCTTCTAGCTCAGTAAAATTTCTAGGGGTCCAGTGATGAGAGGCCTGTCAAGATATGCCTTCTAAGGCGAAGGATAAGTTGCTGCATTTGGCCCCTACTACCACCAAGAAAGAGGCACAACACCTAGTGGGCCTATTTGGATTTTGGAGGCAACATATTCTTCATTTGGGTGTGTTACTCCAGCCCATTTATCTAGTGACCCGAAATGTTGCCAGTTTTGAGTGGGGTCCAGAACAGAAGAAGGCTCTGCAACAGGTCTAGACTGCTGTGCAAGCTGCTCTGCCACTTGGGCCATATGACCCAGCAGATCCAATGGTGCTTGAGGTGTCAGTGGCAGATAGGGATGCTATTTGGAGCCTTTGGCAGGCCCCCATAGATGAATTACAGCAAAGGTCTCTAGGATTTTGGAGCAGGGCCCTGCCATCTTCTGCAGATAACCATCCTCCTTTCGACATGCACCTCTTGGCTTGTTATCGGGCTTTGATAGAAACTGAATGTTTGACTATGGGTCATCAAGTCACCATGTGACTTGAACTGCCTATCATGAACTGGGTGCTTTCTGACCTATCTAACCATAAAGTTGGGCTTGTGCAGCAGCATTCCATTCCGTCATCAAATGGAAGTGGTAAATATGTGATTGGGCTCCAGCAGGTCCTGAGGAAACAAGTGGGTTTCATGAGGAAGTGGTTCAAATGCCCATGGTCCCCACTCCTGCTATCCTGCTTTTTCCCCTCCAGCCTGCACTGACAGCCTCATGAGGAGTTCCCTGTGATCAGCTGACAGAGGAAGAGAAGACTAGGGCCTGGTTTATGAGTGGTGTCTGCATACGTGGCTCTGCACAATATGAAGACACCACCTGAAAGTGGACAGCTGCCGCAGCACTACAGCCCCCTTTTAGCCAGTGTCCACTCAGGTGAGTGGAGGCCAGTTTTAAACAAGGCCAGTTTCATAAACATCATCAGAGTACTTGGAATAAACTGTAATTTTCTTTTAAAAAGGTTTTATTTTTTCAATTTATTTTATTTTATTTATTTACTTTTTGACGTTTTTTAATAAATTATACTTTAAGTTCTAGGGTACATGTGAACAACGTGCAGTTTTGTTACATAGGTATACGTGTGCCATGTTGGTTTGCTGCACCCATCAACTTGAGATTTACATTAAGTGTTTCTCCTAATGCTATTCCTCCCCTAGACCCCCAACCCCCAACTGGCCCCAGTGTGTGACGTTCCCTGCCCTGTGTCCATGTTCTCATTGTTCAACTCTCACCTATGAGTGAGAACATGCGGTGTTTGGTTTTCTGTCCTTGTGATAGTTTGCTAAGAATGATGGTTTCCAGCTTCATTCACATCCCTGTAAAGGACATGAACTCATCCTTTTTTATGGCTGCATAGTATTCCATGGTGTATATGTGCCACATTTTCTTAATCCAGTCTATCATTGATGGACATTTGGGTTGGTTCCAAGTCTTTGCTATTGTGAATAGTGCCGTAATAAACATATGTGTGCATGTGTCTTTATCACAGCATGATTTATAAACTTTTGGGTATATACCCAGTAATGGGATGGCTGCGTCAAACAGTATTTCTAGTTCTAGATCCTTGAGGAATCGCCACACTGTCTTCTACAATGGTTGAACTGAAAAGGTTTTATAAAACATGCCACAAAATGTATCCTGCACCCTTTAATCCTGCCTACTGTTTTGTAAATGGTATAGCCAGCCTCTTAATATCTTAGATATATTGAGATGCATAATTTTTTAAATAATTTACACCACTCAGCAAACTACATTTGTTCAAAGTTGTGTTTAATTTTTCAGAGAGCATTAGGCCATAAATATGAAAACATTTGAACCTTATCACTGATAATGCCACTCGATGAGATGCATTTTATATGATTATGTTCAGGTATGGAAATCCTACAGTGCTATTTGACATCAGGCAGTCTGGGACCTGTGGACACTTATGAATATTGCTCCTTTTGTTGTTATGTACTGTTTTGTTGACACATTTGCATTTATCAATTAAAATATAAACTAATGAGATATATTCCTTGTAAAACAACTGCTCTTTTGAAAGTTGGTAACATGCAGAATAGATAAAATCCTATTACACTGATTCATTGATTTTTCCCCCCTTATACTTGCCCTTTTCATTGTATATGTTTAAACTGCTTTGGCAAAGGTTACAAGTAACTTCAAAATTGCTAAATTTGATGGACCCTTTTCTGCTCTCATCTTACTTGACTGCTTTGTAAAGACATGGGGAATCTAAATATCAGTACCCCCAGGGATCTGAGCATAGCTTCCTACTCTTGCCTGAGAGTGACCTTGTTCATCTCCTTGGCTTCAAGTGTCATACAGTAAATGTGTACTTAGAACCTCAATCCTGAGTACCAATTTCAAGCAATTTATAACTTCCTACAAGAGAGAAGTTGCTCATAGTTCTGTCATGTCTGCAAAATAAAGTCCAAGGTTTTCTGAGATGGATATATGGTCCTTGTGTGATCCTATTTCCAAAAACCACTCTCTGGAGAGCTCCCATCAACAGACACCACTTTAAACCAGGTGCTGTGGACTCACAAAAACATGCAGAGATTCTTATCATGCAAACCTGTTTTGTGTCTTATTAACATATTTCACTTTTCCTGGAATGTACTCTACTTAATTCAATAGGAACTTGCTCAATTTAAGAATCAGCTCTATCATGAAACCTTTTCTGAACTATACTACACACACACACACACACACACACACACACACACCACCTTTATCCAATCATCTGTTGATGGACACTTAGGTTGATTCCATTTCTTTGCTATTGTAAATAATAATATGATAAATACACAAGTGCAGGTATCTATTTTATATGATTTCTTTTCCTTTAGGTAGATACTTAGTACTGGGATTGCTGAATTGAATGGTAGTTCAATTTTTAATTTTTTTAATAAATCTCCATACTGTCTTCCATAGAGGTTGTACAAATTTACATTCATACCAGCCACATATAACTGTTCCTTTTTCCTTGAATCGTTGCCAACATTTGTTATGATTTTGAGTTGTTAATAATAGCTATTCTGACTGGTGTAAGGTTATATCATATTGTGGTTTTAATTTGCATTTCTCTGATAATTAGGGACACTGAACATTTTTTTTCATGTTTCTTGGCCACTTGTTTGTCTTTTGAAAAATGTTCATGTCCTTTACGCACTTATTAATAAGGTTTTAACTTCATATCACTGAAAGAGGCACTGAAGAGGGTAAGAAAGACAGTCTTGAATTGCCCATGCCATGCCTCCCAAAACCCTAGCAGCAGCAGTAGCTGTGTGGCAGGGAAAGAAAATCTGTGTGCTTGCGAGAGGAAGAGGGCAGTGATTATGTGACTCTGCATTGTCACAATAGAAAGCAACATCGAGAACTCAGCTGGCTTCCATAGTGGGAGGATTTAGACCTACCCAGAGGGGAAATGCCCATTCCAGTTGTCAGAACCTGAGTTTCAGTAAGCCTTGCCATCCTCGGCTTAAGTGCTCTAGGGTCCTCAGTGAACCTGAAAAGTAGTCTATGCCACCAGCCCTGAAATTTCTGGGCAAGTCTTGATGCTATGTTGGGCTCAGAGCCAGTGGACTTGGGGGGCAAACAACTCAGTGAGATACTAGCCGGGGCAGCCAAGGTAGTGCTTGCACCACCCATCCCCAGCCCCAGGCAGCACAGCTTCAAAAGAAACTCCTTCTTTCCACTTGAAGAGAGGAGAGGGAAGAGTAAAGAGGACTTTGTCTTATGACTTGGTTGCCAGCTCACCCACAGTAGGATATAGCACTGGACACAATCCTGAGGTCCTCATTCCAGGCACCAGCTCTTGGATGTCATTTCTAGACATACCCCAGGCCAGGAGGGAACCTGCTACCTTGAGAGGAAGGACCCAGTCCTGGAAGAATTCTTCACCCGCTGACTAAAGAGCCTCTGATCCTAAATAAGCAGCACGGGTAGCCAGGAAGTATTCACCTTGGGCCTTGGGTGAGACTCAGAGATGTGCTGGCTTCAGATATGATCCAGAATATTCCAAGCTGTGGTGGCTACAGAGAGGGATTCCCGCTTGAGTAAAGGAGCGGGAAGAGTAAAGGAGACTTTGTCTTGAAGCTTAGATACCAGCTCAGCCATAGCAGGGTAGAGCATTAAGCAGTCTCTTGGGGTCCCCAGTTCCAAGCCTTGGCTATTGGATGGCATTTCTGAACGTGCCCTGGGCCAGCAGGGCACCTACTGCCCTGAAAGGAGAGTCCTAGGCCTGGCAGCATTTACCACAAGCTGACTGAAGAGGCCGTGGGCCTTGAGTGAACATTAGCGTAGCTTGGCAGTATTTGCCGTGGGCCTAGGGCAGTGGTGGCCGTGGGGAGAGATTCCATTTCTTATATGAAAAAAGGAGGGAAATGTGGGCAGAACTTTATCTTGTGTCTTGGGTGCCAATACAGTTGCAGTAGAATAGAGCACCAGGTAGATTTCTAAGGTTTCCAATTCTAGGCCCTGGCTCCCGGACAGCATCTCTGGACCTGCCTAGGGCTAGGGAAAGTACTTTGCTAAAGAATGGATGGGTTCACCACCTGCTGATTGTAGAACCCTAGGGTCTTAAGCAAAGATAGGCAGTAGCCAGACAGTGCTTACCAAGAGCCTTAGATGAAACCCAGTGCTAGGCTGGCTTCAGAGACAACCTAGCACAGTCCCAGTGGTGATGGCCACAAAAGTACTTGGGCCACCCCTCCCTCAGCTCTAGGCAGCTCACCACAGACAGACTTCATTTGATTGGGGAAAAGTAAGGGAAGGACTGGTATATTTTGCCTCCTTCTTAAGAAGAATATATTTTCTATGAAAGGCTTGTTCCTCATTTCAAAGTTTTCCAATCTTCATAAAGCTAGACAGATCTCTCCTTTTCTTATTTTATTTGTGATCCTTGAGACTACTGATGTAATAGTTATTTATTCAGAAAGAAACTTCCCAACTTCAGTTTAGCTTTAGAACCATGATTTATTTAACTTTATATATAGGTTTCCCTGGCTGATCAACAATGAAACATGTACACCTTTTAGTAGCTTGAGTTATTTAGTTCTATCTTTTCCGTGTATCAAATCAGGCTTCCTATGGCTGAATAAGTTATTAAATAATGCTGCACCATCTTTCACAATAAGGTAAGTAAATAGAGGGTAATTAGGGAGCTATTGTCTTACTCTCACCAACTCCTAAATAGAAGAATTTAATTTGGCGTGGTTTAAACTAGGAGGACATGGTGGCAAGTGAGTCTCCTTACTTTAAATACAACTTCAGATTCAAAACCTACAGTATTGAAATACAATCACATACATAATTGTCATGTATATATTGAAAGTGTTTTGAAGATAGAGATAGATATTCATAATTCTATGTGTTACCAATGTTGCTTCAATTTACGTATCAAGCCCTATTAGGAGTATGGGCTTTCAAAAGGAATAAAAAAAACAAACTTTGGCCACTATTAAACTCCCTCTTAAACATAAGAGTGAAAATATATATATTGCCAAGCACTTGCGAGGCAAATGAAGATTAAAACATAAAACTGGTCAGTTTTATCTCTGAGTTGGTCAAATAAAATAATCCTTACTTTAAAATCTCAATAATATATTAATAGGTTAATACTGATAGTCTAAAATACATCTAATTTGAATAATGGTTTTTACTACACTAAGTTTTTTTTTCTTACATTTTATAAATTCAAATTGAAACAACTCTTATCTAATACTTTCTTATTTTCTGTTAGAATCTGCTAGGTTGTAATTTCTACTAATTTGTCTTAATTTTTCTCTCTGGAGCCACACAGAACAAATCTACTGTCTTCAATTATTTGAAGGATTTTTACTTGTAAGAAGGCTATATTTGTCTTTCAAGTCTAACATTTATAGTTTCCACATAACACTTCAAGATTCCCTCAACATTCTGGTTATGATTTTCTGTAAAGTCTCTCATTCAGTGATTGATCAATTCGTTGATCATCTAATTGGTTCATTTATTCAATCATGCAATTATCAATTAGTTAACATCTGCCAGGGACCATGGCTTGTGCTGAGAAGCTACTGACAGTAGTCAATCACTAAGGCTAAAACAAGAGTACCTGTCTTACATTTTTCCCATCTTTTATAGAATTAGCAACTTTTATTCTTTTATGTCCCTTTACATGATTCTAATGCAGAAACAGTTACTTCCTTGCATCTAAATATTTACAAATCTTTCTCATCGTATTAGTGTATCACAAGGCAGAGACTATTAGGTGATAATATAATTATAGTTAAGAGCATGAAATAGTGAGCAGGACTAGGTTCAGATCTTTACTCTTCCCTTTACTCCCTATAGAATTATGGGCCTATGACTCTGGGCTCATTTTCCCACTGTAAAATGGGGATATAATCAGTGGCTACCTTATAAGGTTGTTGTGAGAGTTCCTGTGATTGGATATTTCAGTCTACTTTTAATGGCCATGCAGGTGGTGAAAAGATCTTTGTGTTCCTGTAAATAGGTAGACTGACAGTCCAAGTATTCATCATGTAAGCTTTTTCTCTTTAAGAATGTGTTTTAATAGATATCTTACTGGAAATACAGGAAAGGTAACTTTTAGGAATGAGACACCATTTAAGTCAAAAATTTAATGATCTCTAAATTTCTTTTAATGATCTCTCTCTCTCTCTCTCTCTCTCTCTTCCTTGAATATTCTCTTTTTATGGCGAATGTAGAAGTAACACTGTCTCTTAAAATAAAAATCTCCTTTCATATCTGTTAGATAAGTCAACTGCTTTAATTTTTTTTTGTTCAGCTTGATAAATTGAAGTCATATATTTCTAAATATATTTTTAGTGTAGATGTTTATAAGCAGCACAGAATTAATCTTTCCTTCTTCCAGATGTAAACAATTACAACGACACAATAAAAAATCAACAAATTAAAATCATATCCCAGCCAACATATAGATTAATATAAAATTAAAGGCAAATTTGAAGTAGTTACATTCTGCTTATATACTTAACATGATTATAATTACTTTGTTTTAGATAATTCCTATGCAGTAACATAACAAAGTTTCAGAAAATAACTTATTCCATATAGACATGATAAATATAATGTGTGTGACTATCACTGAATGATAAATAGGACCTTTTATATTCATGAAGTTGGATGTCAGACTCAACTGACAAATGTGTATCATATTCAATGTATTTATTCCAAGGCTTGTTAAAATTACTCCATCTTGCTGCAGATGGATAAAATAACAACTACTTTTCTATATTTTATGGATTAAAACAGTGTGAAATGATGGCTTTAAATTTCCTCTGTTTACAAGTTTATTAAAACCCCACAACAAGTTATATACTTGATTAAAGATTTATAGAAGACACACTGCATTGCATTCTTACAGGTAAATGTCATTCATGAGTGAACTGTCTAAACATTGTAAGTACTCTGACAACATCCATCACAGGTACAGAGAGGAAAGTTCCAAGGTGAAAAAAAGTGCAGTCATGAAAAATATAACACAGGAACAAAAGGAATATGTCATTAGATTCAAAATACATAAATGCAACTATATTTTTGGTAGAGTGGGTTAAATTAAAATAGCAATAAAACGGAACTTAAGAAGAGCAAAATCTTTTTAATGGCTTAAATATCTTAACAACTTCCAAGTTTAAAAAGAACACAGTTTTAAAATATTCTTAAAATATGTCAAATAAAGAAGTAGTGACAAAAGAATGTTCTTTAAGGTGCTTTACTGAACTGTGCTGTCCAATAAGATGGCCACTACTCAAGAGACTATTTAAATTTAAATTAATTGAATTAAAATAGCATTAAAATTTTTTTTTCACTTTTACTAGCCATATTTGACATGCTCTATAGCCATATGTGGCTAGTGACTACTGTATTAGGTAGTGCAGATAGATGGTTTTCATGAGCACAGTTTTATTGGAGAATGGTATTCTAGAATTTTAAGAAAATACCATATAATAAAATTGCAATTATCACCTGTAGGCAATGTTCTAGATGTTTAATATGATATTTAAAAACTGAGGAAAATTAGCTGAGATTATTTGTATATAATTAGTTGAAAGAACACCTGTGCATCTTCTACTGGACACGTATTTGTGCATAACTACTAATTCCAGATAATTTTTTAAAAACTAGCTTAATTGCTTATGGTTATCATTTTTAATTCCAAAATGCTCAGAAGGGACACAGCTATGTCTATGAAAACTAATTTATAAAGAAATAAAAGCAGGTGAAATCATTCATTTCACAGCCCTTCACATGAGAAGATAAATTTAAAATTAGGGCCATAATTGTGGTAGAATCATCCCCTTTAATGAGTAAGTAGAGATGTAAGGTAAGGTGAGAAAATTGAGGCAGTAAATTGGGGACCAAGTGATAGTTTGCTGCACCTCACCAATAATCATCCAGAGGTCCGCTGCATAGTGCAGGATTCAAGAGCATGGGCTCTGTAATCAGATACCTATGCCGCTGAACTAAAGTATACAATCTTAGTTAAGTTACTTAAATTCTTGATTCATTAGTTTCTTCATCTGTAAAAGGAGAATAAAAATACTACGTTTTTCATTACAATTGTTATGAAGATAACTAATAGGGAAGATAACAATTGTTAATGAGCAATGGTATTTATAAAGAAACTTTTATTAACATAATTGTTTTTACTATATTAATATATTGATGATTTATATGTTAATATATAATGAATAATATATAGATGCTCCTCAGCTTACAATGAGGTTGTGTCCCAATAAACCCATTGTAAGTTGAAAATATTAAGTAGAAAGTGTTTAAAACACCTAACATGCAGAACATCATAGCTTAGTCTAACCTATATTAAACATACTCAGAACACTTACATTAGACTACAGTTGGTCAAAAATGATCTAAAAAAGCCTATTTTATAATAGTGTCAAATATCTCATGCAATGTATTAAATACTGTACTGAAAGTATAAAACACAATGATTGTATAAGTACTGGAAGTACAGTTTCTACAGAATGTACATCATTTTCATACCATGGTAAAGTTGAAAAATTATAAGTCAAACCATTGCAAGTTAAGGAAGACCTGTACTAGTATGATTACATAATTATTATAATAATGCTATAAGAATTAATATTATTAACATTATTATTTTAAGAAAAACCTGGGCTATTTTTAAAATACAGATTTTTAAAACTTGTAATATATCTTGTAATCAGAATTTATGAGGATGAAGCTTACTAATCGACGTTTTACAAAGTCCCCTAGTAATCTTATATGTTTGCCCACACTTGAGAACCTTTGATAGTAGAAAAACTGTACTTTTGAGAATTGAGACTGATTTTGAATCTAGACACTGCCACATCTCTTGGAGTCTTAGCTTTCTCATTTGTTAAGTGAAGAAATATTTCCTTAATTAAATCGTTACAAGGATGCTTTTATTAGCAAGGATCTCAACAAATTCCACTGAACTTGCAATAATTTAAAGAGAGCTTATTTACAGAAGGGCTACTTATGAAGATTAGAGTAGTGCATAGGGGCAGTACAAGTGAATCCCCATGTGAAGCTAGCAGCATCAAGCTGTACCTTCACCAAGTCTGAAGGAACGAGGGAGCCGAGGTTAGCGGAAGGAGTGGGAGTTGTGTAGAGCAGGCTACTATGAGAGGAACAGTGACACTGATGAAACATAGACATTCTAAGGGAATTTCACAGGGAAGTACCAGGGAAATAGATATCCTCCCCTTACTTTCCATTCTCTTCTCATCCTCTGGTTTCCTATTGGGGTCCTAATTGGCTGAACCCAACAGTAGGCCAGAGGTCATAGAAGCCTGTTGATGCAACACATGTATATCAGTCTCCCATAGCAGAAAACAGGGAGAAGACAAGTAAAGAGTAGATATGGAGAGAAGTAAATGAGAAATACATGTTATACATTTAAGGTGTCTAGTACATTGTCTCATTTTCAATGAATGGTTTATACTTTTTTTGTTGGGATGTGTTCTGAATGAGTATGTGAAAGGTTCTAACAATATAAATAACATCTGTTCATTCAAAATGCATTGAGGATAAGATGAAGTAGACATTCTGGATAGAAATCAGTGAAATCACTCAGTATATTTTGATGAACTACATCTCTATAAACTTGCTAATCTTAACATTTTGGTAAATATCTTACACTTTAATAGTAATTTTTTCACATTACTAAGTAATCAAAAATACTTCCAAATAACCTTGTAAGGAAGGTAAAAGTTCATCTCCATCCTCTATTTAATTATGATAATTCTGAGATTTTCATTGATTTGATGAATACATGGAAGAGTATATTTAAACCTTATTTTGCTTAAATGATTAATCTGTCAGCTAAGTCATTCTTAAAACAAAATGTACACATGAAGATGTCATGTAGGACACCACTTGTTTTTTCATCACTGAGTAAATACCTTAAGGTTGTAGTCCTCAAAGTATGGTTCCTTGACCAAGCACCCAAATCATTACCTCCTGGGAACTTATTAGAAATGCATATTCTTGCCTCTCCCAGCCCCACTGAATCAGAAATTCTAAGGATGGAGACCAATATCTTGTCTCGTTACAAGCCCTCTGGTGACTCAGATGCAGCTGAAGTTTGAAAATCATTCCTTTAATGGATTACATTTAATCACCTGCAAGCAGCTACCATGGTTGAAGCCTGCGTATCTGGAACAAAACAAAATATACTGATGAGGGTTTTTCTATGGTTTTAGGCTGATTTAAAAATAAATCTGCCCCATAAAAACCTATCAACCATTATGTTGCTGTTTCCTGAAAGATGCTTAGTAGAAACATAAAACATGGCATTATTATTTTCATTACACCATTGAGTGTAATATGTTTAAAAACTATCAGGTTTCTTATTCTCTTCCCTTCTAATGGATTTTATGAAAATCCCATAAATTCCAGCATCAAGCCCAGAAATCATATATCATAATACAGATCCAAATAGTTTTAAATCAGATCAACATGGCTTGCTTTGATCTAATTTGCTCATAAAAATTAGTTGAGGATATAAGGTATGACTCAACAGCGTTTTTCCATAAAGGGCCACATAGTAAAGTATTTTGGTCTTTTCAGACCATGTGGTCTCTTGAAACTATTCAACTCTGTCATAACACAAAGCAGCCATAGACAATACATATACAAACGGGCTTTTTTTTTAAATAAGGATGACTGTTATTAAAAAGACAAGAGATAACAAATGTTAGTGAGGGTGTGGAGAATGGAAGCATTTCTAGATTTTTAGTGGGAATGTAGATTGGTGATATGGTTTGGTTGTGTCCCCACCCAAATCTCATCTTGAATTGTAGCTCCTATAATTCCCACGTGATGTGGGAGAGACACAGTGGGAGATAACTGAATCATGGGGGCAGCTTTCCCCACACTGTTCTCGTGGTAGTAAGTCTCATGAGATCTGATAGTTTTATAAGGGGAATCCCCTTTTGCTTGGCTCTCATTCTCTCTTTGCCTGCTGTCATGTAAAATGTGTCTTTTGCCTTCCACCATGATTGTGAGGCCTCTCCAGTAAGTGGAACTGTGAGTCCATTAAACCTCTTTTCCTTTATAAATTGCCCAGTCTCAGGTATGTATTTATCAGCATCATGAAAATGGTCCAAGACAGTAAGTTGGTACCAGTAGAGTGGGGCACTGCCATAAATATATGTGAAAATGTGGAAGTGACTTTGGAACTGGGTAATAGAGGCTGGAATATTTTGGAGGGTTCAGAAGAAGATAGGACAATGTGGGAAAGTTTGGAGCTTCCTAGAGACTTGTTAAATGGCTTTAACCAAAATGTTGATAGTGATATGGATAATGAAATGCAGACTGAGGTAGTCTCAGAGGGAGATGAGAAACTTGTTTGGAACTGGAGTAAAGGTGACTCTTGCTATGTTTTAGCAAAGAGACTGGCAGCATTTTGCCTCTGGCCTAGAGATCTGAACTTGAGGGAGATGATTTAGGGTATCCGGTGGAAGAAATTTCTAAAAAGCAAAGCATTCAAGAGGTGACTTGGGCGCTGTAAAAAGCATTCAGTTTTAAAAGGGAAACAGAACATAAAAGTTTGGAAAATCTGCAGCCTGATGATGCAACAGAAAAGAAAAATCCCATTTTCTGAGAAGAAATTCAAGCTGGCTGCATAAATTTGCATAAGTAATGAGGAGCCAAATGTTAATCGCTAAGACAATCCAGGGCTTGTCAGAGACCTTTCCAGCAGCACCTCTTATTACAGACCCAGAGGCCTAGGAGGAAAAAATGGTTTTGTGAGCTGGGCCCAGGGACGTCTTGCTGTGTGCAGCCTAGGGACTTGGTGCCCTGGGTCTCCGCTGCTCTAGCCATAGCTAAAAGAGGCCAAGGTACAGCTTGGACCGTGGCTTCAGAGGGTGCCAAGTCTTGGCAGCTTCCATGTGGTGTTGAGCCTGTAGGTGCACAGAAGTCAAGAACTGAGGTTTGGGAACCTCTGCCTAGATTTCAGAGGATGTATGGAAATGCCTGGGTATCCAGGCAGAAGCTTTCTGCAGGGCCGAGGTCCTCATGGAGAACTTCTGCTTAGGGCATTGTGGAAGAGAAATGTGGTGTTGAGGTCCCCACACAGAGTCCCCACTGGGGCACTTCCTAGTGGAGCTGTGAGAAGAGGGCCACCGTCCAACAGACCCTAGAATGGTAGATCCACCAACAGCTTGCACTGTGTACCTGGAAAAGCCACAGACACTCAATGCCAGCCTGTGAAAGCAGCCAGGAGGAAGACTATACCCTGCAAAGCTACAGAGGCAGAGCTTCCCACGACCATAGGAACCCACCTCTTGCATCAGCATGACCTGGATGTGAGACATGTAGTCAAAGGAGATAATTGCTTTAAGATTTGACTCCCCCACTGTATTTCAGACTTGCACGGGGCCTTTAGCATCTTCATTTTGGCCAATTTCTCCCATTTGAAATGGGTATATTTATACAACGCCTGTACTCCCATTGTATCTAGGAAGTAACTAACTTGCTTTTGAATTTACAGGCTCAGGCAGAAGGGACTTGCCTTGTCTCAGATGAGACTTTGGACTGTGGGCTTTTGAGTTAATACTGAAATGAGTTGAGACTTTGAGGACTGTTGGGAAGGCATGATTGATTTTGGAAAATGAGGACATGAGATTTGGGAGGGACCAGGTGCAGAATGATATGGTTTGGCTGTGTCCCAACCCAAATCTCATCTTGAACTGTAGCTCCCATGATTCCCACCTGTTGTGGGAGGGACCCAGTGGGAGATAATTGAATCATGGGGGCAATTTTCCCCATACTGTTCTCGTGGTAGTAAGTCTCATGAGATCCAATAGTTTTATAAGGGGAATCCCCTTTTGCTTGGCTCTCATTCTCTCTTTGCCTGCTGTCATGTAAGACACACCTTTTGCCTTCCGCAATGTGAGGCCTCTCCAGCCATGTGGAACTGTGAAGTCCATTAAACCTCTTTTCCTTTATGAGTTACCCAGTCTCAGGTATGTCTTTATCAGCAGCGTGAAAATAGACTAATGCAGCTGGTACAGCCATTATGGAAAACAGTATGGAGATTCCTAAAAAGTATTAAAAATAGAGCTACTGTATGACCCACGTATACCTCTTCTGTGTACAGACCCAAGGGAATTAAAATCATCACCTCCAAAACATATCTGCACTCTTGTTTATTACAATATTACTCAGTATGGCTAAGATATGGAAACAACCTCAGTGTCCATGGATAAATGAATGGGTAAAGAAATAGTGACATATATAAATATATATATGTACATATGTGCAAATATACACACACACACATACAATGGAACATTATACAGCCTTAAAAAGGAAAGAGATCCTGCCATTTACCACAGAGTGGATGACCTAGAGGATATTATGCTAAGTAAAGTAAGCCAGACAAAGGAAAATACAGCATAGTCTTTTTCACATATGGAAAGTAAAAAAACAAAAAAAGGACTGTAAGAAACAGAGTAGAAAGGTGGGGTGGGGGAGAATGGGAAATATAGATCAAAGGGCACGAAGATGTAGTTATCTCAGATGAATAAATTTAGAGATCTAAGGTATAGCAAGAGGACTATAGTTAATATTTTATTATGCACTGGAAATTTGCTAAGAAACTAGATTTTAGGTATTCTCACCACAAAAAAAAAAAAGGAAAAGAAAGGTAACTAGGTGAGATGATAGATAGTGAGATGATAGATTTACTTGACTGTAGTAACCACTTCATTGTGCATATGTATATCAAAACATCATGTTGGATACCTTAAATACATACAATAAAATTTTTTAAATGTGTACATTAGAAAAACTTTATTTATTGAAACAACTCATGGAATTTGGTCCACAGGCCACAGTTTGTCCACTCTTGGTCTAAGGAATCTTGTGTTCTAATGATAACACTTTACATAAGAAAAGTGGAACTAAGGCAGGTGAAGAATTTTGTTCAAATCATATAGCTGAACACGAGGCAGTTTCACTAATTGATTCTCAATCAGGTGATACGCTCCTTTAAATATGAAAAATGCGTTATAGCTAAAGTTTCAGCATCATTCATTACCATTAATACATTTTATTCTTTATATTTTATTCTAGATTATCTTAATTTTGTATGACTGTCACAAAAGAAATGGCATTTGCTTTTGCTTTAGATGATAGGTTTCGTTTTTGAAATTATGTTTTATAATGTTATGGTTTGTATTTTTCTCTTCTATGAAAATAACACAAGAAAATCAATTACAATGTAAGAATATCACTAATGCTAAAATGTCAGTGAGAAGTTGGCCCCCTACCACAATGAACAGCCACTATCACATGAGATTCTTGGCTTCTGCCTGGCAAACACTTATCAACCATTTTAAAAGCACAGCCATTTAGACACACAGCCATCCATACTTTTCCCTGAAGCAAAGAGCCTTGCTCTTTGTTGACATAAGTAAGAACTTGCATAAGGTGATAACATTCGCAAAGTTGGCTTTGTTTCTCTATTTGAAATGTATTCCTCCTCTTTCCCTTCTATTTGGTCTGACCATTGGATGCTAAACCTCCTGTGACTGACTTTCAGCTTTCTTTCTTTTCTTTTTTTTTTTTTTTTTTTTTTTTTGAGACGGAGTCTCCCTCTTTTGCCCAGGTTGGAGTGCAGTGGCGCGATCTCGGCTCACTGCAAGCTCCGCCTCCCGGGTTCACGCCATTCTCCTGCCTCAGCCTCCTGAGTAGCTGGGACTACAGGCACCCGCCACCATGCCCGGCTAATTTGTTTGTATTTTTAGTAGAGACGGGGTTTCACCGTGTTAGCCAGGATAGTCTTGATCTCCTGACCTCAGGATCCGCCCGCCTTGGCCTCCCAAAGTGCTGGGATTACAGGCGTGAGCCACCGCGCCCAGCTCAGCTTTTTTTCTTAAATCAATATAATTCTCAGATCTTGTGCCTAATTGTTCTTTTAGATTTCTGGCATGTAAATAGACATGCCAGACATCTGGGATAACTCATTTTAGACATTTAATTTCAAATCAGTTTTATTTAGAGCAGAATTATAAACACAAGGTCTTCAGAGCCAATGCAATGAAGAATGATAATTATAAATGGTACTTATAAATCAAAAAGCATTGCAAGATTTACATTAAGTGACAACTGATAGTTGGTCTTAGTATTAGTGAACAATAGGGAGTGGTGGATATTGGGCAAACTGGAGAAGGCATGTTCTGTATAAAGGAAAGAGCCACTGCTTTCTACCTACCTGAGACTATAAAATCCCAGGGTACTCTCTTTTCCAGTTTTTTTCATACTCAAGTCTTAAATGTTGTCTACTAATTTCCCCCAAGGCAACGTATAAAGTTTTTTTTAATGTAAAACACTGTGAGGACTGACTGCTCATAGACTACCACTTTACAAACTTTGATTTGAGTTTTCATACATTATTTAAAATATCCCAGTTCATATTCTGGTGTCCCAAAGTTACATGAACAAAGTTTAAGTGGTTTAATTATTATGCAGTGAGATTTAGCTGTGATCTTGATATCACATCAAAATTTCACAATGTGCTGTCTTTCCATGTTTACTGTTCTGCGTGGTTGTTTTGCTGTAAAGTTCACTTAAGGCATTTTCTATTCTCTCATTGCCTAGGACCCCAGCTGAAGGATTTTAACTGACGTGTGGGCTGACTCTGCCACAGAAGCACAACCACAATTGATCACTATATTCTGAATAAGACTTGGAGTTCAAGCAATCATATGAAAAGGCACTCAATAACCTTCTGTCTTCCTTGATTCCAAATACGGTATACATAAAGGTTATCATATACTCCTCTTCAGCTAGCTAGGTTATCTTGACATGCTTCAATTATTTTGTAATTGCCACTGTTTTTCAACAGCTGTGCCCTTGAAATGCATTTTCTCTTTTGACTAATCAGATAATTTGAAGATGCAGTGCCACTTCTGCAATAAAGCCAATATTGTTAAGAGCCATTGGTGTTTTAAAGGATCCATATTTCAGGAGAAAATTATACCATCAACTGTAATTTATGTGAAATTGTGTTAAAGCAAGTGTGTCTCTAAATTTCTACTCGAGAAAAATTTAACTAAAAATGTTGTCTTTTATTTCTGTGACCAACTCAAAGTCTGATTTTAAAAAGTGATTCTACAGCGAGTCGCTCATATTGCATTTTCACTTAATCCTAAAATAGCAGTCTGTTGCCAAACAATAGAAATAACAGAATAACTGAAGCTTGTCAAGACCATCTAGGAGGTTGATTAAACCTAGAGATGGTTCCCTGTGAAACTGACTATGAACTAGAATTTATGAACCCATTATACTTTGCAGATATGACTTATATAGATTAATCCTCAAGAAAAATTTAAGGAAAATAAAGATATGTTACCAAAAACTATATGTGTTGCTATTATAACAAAATACAAGGTTAAATATAAACAAACCTGCATCTTCAGTGTTTTATCTTATCACAGTGCCTGCATGTTTTTAAAGTAAGAGTGTAAAATTGGTTATTTTAAATTATTCCCCCAAGGCAGTGTATAAAAACGGCCATGGGCAAGTCATAAGTAATTGTTTGCAATCCACTTTTCCTTTAGCAAATACAATGCTGTTCTTTTTATCATGAAATGGGTAGTGCTGAAAACAAATTGCTTGATTTTTTTTTTAGATGGAAAACAATTTGAAAACATAGGATTTTTGAAACCTTTAGTTTCAGATTTTATTACTTTTCAAGAAGCCATTCACAAAAATTTTCAGAAAAAAAATTGTTCCCTAGATGCCAATGGAAAGACAAGAGAATAAATATATATATTACTTTGCAAAAAGAACTATTAATTTGAGTTAAAAATTTTAAAAAATATTCATATGGGCCAGGCGCAGTGGCTCACACCTGTAATCCCAGCACTTTGGGATGCCGAGGTAGGTGGATCACGAGGTCAGGAGATCGAGACCATCCTGGCTAACACAGTGCAACCCCGTCTCTACTAAAAATACAAAAAAATTAGCCGGGCGTGGTGGCGGGCACCTGTAGTCCCAGTTACTTGGGAGGCTGAGGCAGGAGAATGGCGTGAACCCGGGAGGCGGAGCTTGCAGCGAGCGGAGATCGCGCCACTACACTCCAGCCTGGGTGACAGAGTAAGACTCCGCCTCAAAAAAAAAATAAAAAGAAATTTATATGTAATGACAAATTTGGAGGAAATACAAATATATCTTTTGACTACTGTTTATTGCCCCATCTCTTAAATATTGATTCAATATACATATTTCACATTATATAACACCCTCTCCAGGACAATATACACTTAATCTGAGCTATGCAATACTGATGAGAAGAATAAGTTCATTGACTTTTAACGATTATGCTAACTTGAGGTAAGTCAAACCATTTATTAATTGACAATCACGTAAGGGCTGCTTTAGTTGTGGGTAATTAACCCAGATTCTCTACACATGAAGTATGCTTTGCTACTGCCACCTCCCCACTCCCCGCCCACCCGCCGCCAATGCCAGTTCCACCTTTCGCTTTTGTCCTGAGACCTTACAATCACTATTCCTTTACCCAGCCCATTTTATTTACTTTCAAATATTCAGTTAAAATATCGTAAATGTCTGGGTATAAATAAAAAATAACCTAAACCCTATGGTTTATTAATCTTATTCCATGATTCCCAGGAAATCTTTTCCTTCACTATTACTTTCCTTCCATATTTTGCTTAAGCTCCTAGACTACTGTAGTTTCCAATAAAAATTCCAAATTTCTTAGCAATATCTTTTAAAAGATTCAATATTTTTGAAACAAGCAAGGTAAAAATCATTAATACAATGTTTGGTTCATTGTAAGCACCCCATGAAAAGTATTTCTGTGTAGGAGATAACAAGAGATGAGGCAGAAGAGCTAGGTACAGACGGATAGTGGGAAGCAGTTAATGTCGATCTTAGGTTTAGCAATCAGATTTCCATATTAGATAAATAATTCTGACAGCTAAATAGAGGATGCATTTGTCGGGGCAAGACTAGAGGCAGGGACAGTCGGGAGACTTTTGTAGTGAACATGGAAATAAATTCTATAAATTTGAGGGTTATCAAAATGAACCCAGTTAAAGAGAATAGATGATTAGGGGTTCTTAATTAAAATCCATTAATGAGTCTCAAATAATTCATAAGCTTTCTGAAATGTACATATAATTGTCTATGCTTGTATGATACACATATTACCATCCACACTTTCCGTTTTGGGACAGATTCTAAAAGAGATGTTCAAAAAAACCCAGAAGTATTAAGAACCTCTGTTATTGAGTGTTACATGCGTGCCATGGATTAAGAATGTAACTCTGAGTAACACTGATATTTAAGTGGCAGATCAATGAAAAAAGGCAAAGAGAAAAACCACAGAAGTATAAAGAGAAATTGGTGAATGCACTGCTTTAGAATCAAAGGAAATATAAGCTTTCAAAAAGGAGAATGAGTCTAATTGTGTGCAATGCAGCATGGAAGTCTTGCATGCAAAGAAACTTCTATTGGTGTTCACAATTAGAGTGTCACTGAGGACCTTAAAAGTCACAGTTTTGAAAGAACAATAATTTATAATCAGGATAATTCCATCTCATTAAGGGGTGTTTGGAAATATATGACATGTTTTCATATTGTTATAACTACGGAAATTTAATTCACAGGATTAAGAGATGCTAAACATTTTCAAAATATATGCAACTATCTTGAACAATGAAGACATAAGCATGAACGTCAGAATAAACTTGATGACTAATGGCAGTGTAAAAGTGAAGATGTTGAGAGTAGAATGCATATTGTAAAGCTAAAATGAGAAAGAGAGAAGATATTAGACAGCAGCTAGATGTATGCTTTCTTCGTACAATGGGGAGGATTTAAACATATATATTGACTAAAGAGTAAACAATATGTAGAGAAAGTGATATAGAAAAATAATATAAGAGACCAAGGCTCTGGAGAAGTTCACTGCATGATAGAAGAATTGGCAAAATATAAATCATTTGGCCTTAGATAGGACAGAAAAAACTTCATCCTATGTGACAGAGGAAGGAGATGCCCTTGGGTTTTATGACTTTTCTCCATAAAATACATTTGAGTGTTAGTGAAGCAGATGATTTCTAATTTTTCATCTGTTTACTGCAGTACATTGAAGGAAATCTTTTCCCTGTGCCTAATGAATAAGATGCTGCATTTTTAGTTCTTTGAAAAAATGTATCATAGGCTCATGATTATATTTTTATAGTCGGTCTTGATATATACATGCAATCCCTCTATATAGTAAACATTTCTTCTTTTTCTGAGCATTTACTCTATCCTAAGTATTACTCAGGCCCTTACTAATGAAAAGGGTAAGTGGATTTCCTTCGATAATTTTCATGTACATGAGTGCTAGTACAATTTTACCCTCAGATCTTAAGTTAGAAGTTGATCTGCAGAGCTTTCAGTCAAATGTATTATATCTAAAACATATTATCTTGTGTGATTTTCCTGGGCTTAAAAATATGCCTTTCCTAAGCTTTATCAAACACTATATGAAGGCAAAAATATCACTGAGTAATTTTAAGTAGCCCTTACAAAAACTCACCAAAAGTAGAGGAACAAAATTTAACTACCGGTCCTAGAGCTCTTTGCATACTAGACGACCTCTTCTCCAGTAGCAACTCTATGCTTTTCTTCTGAATATACTGAATTTGTGGGAAATAGAGAGAGAAGAGTACTGATGAGGGCAAGCAACTGGGGTTGATCTGCCAAGATACTCTAAAATAACAGTGGGTAAACTGTAGTGAGGTTCCTGGTTGCCAAAGGCCCAGGTCTAGGTGAAGAGGATATAAAATTGAAGCAGGATGAAAAACTTCTGCCTTTGTCCTTTTAAATTGTCTTGTTTTAGGTCTCTGTTTGTGTTTTGATGGGTAGAAATGTGTCTTGTAGCCTGAAAATTTGCTGATTAATATTCCTGGAGTGTACAACTGTACAACCTTCCATCTCTCGGATAAATTTACATATAGATTTCAATGAGAACCTTTAGGTGTCATCCATAACATGATTAGCTCTTCTAAGTATCAAACCACTGTGTTCGTTTTACGTGCAAATGTGGGTTTACTTTCCATCTAAAACTGTTATCAATGTAATTATTCTTAAGTAAACATCAGTAGCACTGTTCCTAGCTCTAGAACACCACAATGAAATAATCAGCATGAACGTTTGAAAAAATTTCATGATAAAGAGGATATAGGACTACTTTAAGTCCCGATGAATATGTCTATAAATTGGGAAGGTCTGGATAACTGCTGAAGCATCTATCAGCTATATGTGTATACTTTTTATAAAAAATGTATTTTGAAGTCCTAAAAATGATCTTCATATTTCAAACAAGCAGGTGGCAAAATATATCCAGAAAACATTATTATTATATATAATATTGAGAAAGAAAAAATATATATGGTTTATAATAATATTATATATCATCACATTATTGAATGACTGAATTGACTTGATTTGTGTTTCAATGATTTGTAACAAAGAATTTATTTTAATTAATCAATATCCCCATAACAAAGATATCATATATACTGGAAAACATAGGTTTTAAGTTTGTATAAAATATTGAATTTTAAAATCACTTTAATTTCTGCATCTGTGAAATCTTAAGCTCAATAACAGAGTTACCTTAAAGCTAATTATAACATAATTGACTTATTCTGGTTTAAAAACGATGGGAAAATACATCAAAAACTACAGTAACGTTTCTGCATATACTTGATGTTTCAGTCTTCTGACAATAAAATTTATGCAATACCAGTATGACATAAATTTATTGTGACTAAGCTGATGGGTATAATTCCTAACTCATCTATACACCTCCCACAAAAGCTTTCTTTTCATTAATGATTACACATATTTTGTATTGTACTGAACTCAGAAATGAATATAGGCTTTGCCTTTTATATTATAGTAGATAAACTATTTTAACATGGATAGAATTAATTTTAATGTATATATTTAATAGACAAAGACAGCAATCTATTTCATTCATATAACTTTGCATTGGGCTGCAATATCTCTGTTATTTACCACCCATTAATATTAGGGACTTCATAGTCTACAACTAGTCTATGGCCAGGTATCACTCTTAAGTGTTTGAACACTGCCTCATTTATTCTCCTCTGGAGTCTTCTCTTTTCTGTGGTAAATTTCCAGTTCCATGCACTTTCTTCTATAGGACGTGATTTTGCAACACTCCAATCGTAATGGCTATTCTCTCCTGGCTAAGTCTCAGATTATTATTTTTTTTCTCTATTTCAGAATGTTAGACTTAGAACAGATTGTAGTATTTAAGAGTCTGAGTAGTGCAGAGTAGGATTACTGACTCACTTATTCTGAATGGTATGCTGCTCTTGAAGTTGTCCTATATTATGGATTCATGTTGACAGTACTTCTGACATAAGTGTTGGGAAAAATTACATGGTCTTGTATTTATCCTTTTGAAATTTATGCTTTTTTAAGATACAAAACTTAACACTTAATTCAGATATTCAACATAACAGCCATCCTTTGCCAGTTGAAAAAACAAAATATAAGCCCACTCTCTATCTCATCTAAGCCAGTGATAAACTAGTAAACATAGCTCTGTAGCACACCAAAAACATCTTTCAAAATTGACTATTAAAATCAAGCACACTATTTCAACCAGTTACCATCTTCTTAATTTTACCTGTGTTTCATATTTCTCTATTTACTATATATTAAATAAATTAGTGAAAACCTCTTAATAAAGACAAGAAATGCTGTCTATTCTATTTTCTTACCTAAAAAACTAGTTTGACAGGGTTTGCATTTAGAAACCCCAACTACTTACTTATAATCACACATTTTTCCTGTTTTAGATGTTAACAAAATATTTATTTTTAAAATTGCATTCAGCATTGATAGCAAGTCATCCAGTTAATAATCTGTAAACTTGACTAATATAGTTTTGAAATTAATAGGCAGTTTCCCACATTTAGTCCTTCATAACTCTTCCTAACCTCATGTTTTTTTTCCTCAACAAACATTGACAGTAGCTCAATAATCTTGTCTGCAATCTCCTTTAATACCTGTATACGTAAATTCTAAGTTCTAGAAATTTGGAGTTCACGTGAAACAGCTACATGCTCTTTACAAATATATTTAATGATTTGGATCTCATTTTCATCTTACCAATCGATATTTACTCTAGTATTTTAAATAATATGCACCATTTAATTTAGTTTTTTAAGAAAGTCTCCTTAGCAAAAATAACATCTAACCTAACAGCTCAAAGAAAAGCAGTTTTTAGTTAACAGTAAGTACAGTGGAAAGAATATCCCAGCATGAAGGTGCAAGGTACGTGAAAGATCTGAGATAAGATTATGCATGACAGGTGGTGCCATGGATGAAGAATAATAATGAGTAATGAAGACAGTAGCATGCCTACAAATTTAGGAAAGAAGGTCATGTAATAGACCTTGTTAAACATTAAAGGTAAGTCCTTAGTGCATTAGGGAGCTACCAAATTGTTTTGAACAGGATTCATAATTGAATTTATATCTTTAAAAGATCCCCCACTGCTGGTTCCCTTTCAATTCTGCCATGAGCAGAAGTATGAGGGTCTCACCAGAAGCATATTCTAGCACCCTGATTTTTGTACAGCTTGCAGAGCCATGAGCCAAATAAAACTCTTTTCTTTATAAATTATCCAGGTTCAGGTATTCCTTTACAGTAATGCAAAAAGACTAAGACAGTTGTATATATTTCTTTATAATTTTTATGTTTTCAGTTCTCAAAATAATGGTTACATCCAATATATCATTCCTACTGCTTTCTCTTTTTTGTTTTTTTTTGGTAGGCTTGATATTTTCACAGTATCAGTTCATGAATTAATAAATTTATTTTATAGTTTTCTTTCTAATTTATCATTTTACTTCATTATATTCAATTAAAGCTTACATCGCTTTTTCACTTTTTAATGCATTTCTAATAATTTCCATTCTTAATAGAAGTAATTTATGATAATGACTTTTGTATGAGAAAAATTTTGCCAGTATCATATCTTTTTCTAGGTACAGTGTTTTCTAGCCAATAATTTCAGTTTTAATTTGCTCTTGGACCAATGTGATGTTAAAGTAATTCTTTTTCTTTCTTTTATTTTTAGGTTTACTTCCAAGTGTTTAGGAGTTGGAGTTCACCTTAGCTATTAATTCTAGTTTAATCATATTTTAACACATCAATGTTAACTGTATCATGTCTACTGTAGAGGCTTAATCAAACTTTTCATTGTAATCTAACACAGATGGAGCATCTGTGAATCTGAAAATCTGAAATCTGAAATGCTCTAAAATCTGAAACTTTTTGAGTGCTGACGTGACACCACAAATGGAAAATTGTACACATAATCACCTAACACAAATTTTGTTTCATGCATAAAATTATCTAAAATATTGTATAAAATTACCTTTAAGCTATATGTGTAAGGTATATATGAAACATAAATGAATTTTGTGATTAGACTTGAGTCCCACCCCCAAGATATTTCATTATGTATATGCAAATATTTCAAAATATATCTTCCTTTCAGTTTCCCTACTCATAGGTCAGCTAAGAATCCTAGAAGATTTGGCAATTATGTTAATAAAATAGTGAGACCACTGTCTGTTTTGATTAAGTCTCTTCCATATCTCTGTCTTCAGAGATTTCATTTACATACATCTCCCCTTGAGAATTACATTTCTTCTCTATTCTACTGAAAGGGCAAAACTGGCTACTACCCTCAGAGTATCATTGATTATTGTAAATTAATACCTCCTAAAAACAAAACAAAACAAAATCTGCTATAGCTTTTAAACTTTCCTCGCTACCTGTTTCCATAATCTCTCTCCAAGGTGGCATACGATCCAAGGTTGTATCTTGGATGACCAGTTTCCCAAATCACCTAAACAAAGAAAAATATTTTAAAATCCACTAGTTGTTGTCTCTTCTCTCTACTATTCCTTACCTCATTAAATCTTATTTTTAAGTAGCTACTTTATACATGGATTTTAAAAGAAAAAAAAAACGGTTTAAAAATTCCCTTACATACTTGTCAATTTGGAAGGATAGCTTTTACATAAGCTTCTACAGATTTGATTTCTGTAAAATATGTTCCTGTAAAATATGTTCTCTACTACAATGCTTTTAATCTTACTGCCAAGGTCTCTTATCCACAGGGTAATAGATTTATTTTTTTAAATAAAAATAAAGGAAGCCATATGCACATAAACTCCATTTATGTGCCAAAATGTGTAAAGAGACCAAAAGAAAGCTGTCCCTTAAATAGCAGGGCAAGATTTTTCTCTTCCTCTCCAACCCCAATTCAAGGGTTGAGAAAAAAATGGTACGCTATACATCTATGGCAAGGCTAACTTTTGATATGTCACCAGACACACTCAAAAAAATATTTTTGCATTATGATGTGAGCATAGGCTTCTCCATGGGTAAAGGAGCCCAATCTGTGATCCAGTGAATGTGGATATGAGCAGCTCCCACTGTAAAAGGTTATATTTTTATGCCCAAACCCATGCCCCCAGCAGTTATATTTACACTCAGTTGTTTAGATTCCTTAGTATTAAAAATGCTTATAAGATATACAAAAGGATAGTCACATGACTATATGCACATTTATTCAGCCCTACAATTGGTTTCTGTTCAGAAACTGCACTTTGAGTTTCTATTAGTCATTCTTATGTATCCTAGTTCCAGTTTCCTAGTTCCAGTTTAGAAGTTTGCACTGTGTTGCCTCAATTTTCTAGGATGATCAATCTTAGGGCTTCAAGGACTTTGGAGATGGCCCAAACTGAAGTCAGCAAAAGTCTTTTTTTCTATCCCTTCCCAGAAAATGCTCTACTAAGCAGAAGAGCTTCCTTAAATCTGCCAAATAATAGCAATATGTTTAGTGAGCTAGTGTTCTCCAATTTTATAAATTACATTATTAATATCTTTTAAAGAGACAGAGAAAGAGAAAACATACCACTTCCCACAAGTCACTGGGCATTGCTTAGTTTCCCTTTGTTCAGTTTCCTCAGTATTTTTTTTTTCTGTGCAGAGAGGTTGCAGCTGTAACTTCTCGGATACCACATCAGAAGCTGCTACTCAAAGGTCCTTTAGAGTAATTATGTGTTACAAGGGGAATGTGATATAACAAAGAATTAAAGTAATTGTTAAAATCCTAGAAATTGCCAACATTTTTGAAAATGTGCCCTTGAATAATCTGGAAAGTCCAGTGGCTGGAGGAGATAATGAATGTAATCATTAAACCACTTACAGTGCCTTGTTAAGAAGGGCCGTGTATGTATGTGATAATAGTGACAGCAGTATCTTTTTCTCTTTACACGAAAGTTTCTTTGCTCTTCTCTATACCTGGCACGGTTGCCTGAGAAGATCAGATAGCCTATGATTAAGTAATTCATTTCAGCACTAAAACGTTTGCATATGCAAGGATAACACAAAGCTCTTAGAAGTTTTATCCATTTTGGAACTAGGAATAAATAAACATAGATACATTCCACAGGATGTAGAAAAAATGTTAAATATTCTGAAGCAAGCAAGCTGAAAAAATAAATATTATTCATGGCAAATGTGTTAAGAGATATTTTTACGTTAACATTTACAGAGCAGACTGACTTCGTGACTTGACTTTGGAAATTAATACAAAGTTGGTGTAACTGGATTATTCTGGTGATATTTTTAAATTGATTAGAGCAAAAGGACAAAACAAAAATCTTGGTGTCCTCTTTTTAAACAAAGTCTATTCTCTGACCATAGACCAAACCTCGAGTTCTTAGTACTCATAAATAAAAATAACAAGGCCCATAATACAGGCATAAATTAGCTAAACTATCTAAACACTTGTTAACTTCACTTTATGAGCTGGACACTCTATTCAACAGTAAGAATACTATGAATAAAGATAGTCCTTAACCTTAAGAAGCTCTTGAGTCTTAGAGACAAGGACAATTGAATGAACAGATAGAGTACAATATGGTAAGCAGTATATAGCTAAACACAGAGTCCATCATAACCACTGTGAAAGGAAAATAAATCTCACGATCCCAGAATCACTTAGACAAAGGAAAAAGTCAAGCTGAGAACTGGGTCACACAAACCTGCCTCCAATTTTGTTCCTAAATAAGATAGCTATAAATATTAAAAACAACAACAACAACAAATGAAAAACAAGCCTCAGACCTCTCTCACCATTTGCTCACGAAAAAAATCCGAGGGCCTCAAGAACTTTACCCTAAAAAAGCTCTATTAAGTTTCACCCTTACAATGTAAATTGATAGCCTGTCTTCACAGGTACTGGACAAAGGACAGAACTCAAAGTCAATCTTCTGCTCACCTGAGACAAATATATCTGATTGTTTCCTCTGCCCTATGTTTATTTTATCTTACGTAAAAATTCAGATTCACTGAGCTAGGTGAATGCATAAGTAACTATTTCTCTACCCCCTTCACGTGTGAATGGCTAATCAAAGACTCAAAAGAATGCAACCACTTGCCTCTTATCTACCCATATCCTTTTAAAAATTTATCCCTCTTTCCCCAATAACTGCCCTATTTCCTTTAAATATTGAGGTCCTTAGATTTCCTTTGAAAAAAGAAAGGACCACAATTTTTCCTGTGGATCTGTGTTCTTTCCCAGACACAGCCTTAAACTTGACAAATAAACATAAACGATTGAGACTCACTGCAGTCATTTTTTAAAAATTTACACCATTAAAGGAAGACCTCCTCCCTTAAAAAATACCCACAATTCTTTCAATTGCACTCAAAGTTGCTTATAACATCACAGCCACAACATACGGGCTTTTACGTACTCACTTTTAATACAATGAATAATCCTATCCCTTCACCCTTTCTCTTTTCCTTTCTTTCCTCCTTTATGTGTTAATTCCTAAACATCTCAAATGTCTTTGAGATCCTATGAGGAGCCTTTCCTTATTCTGAAGTCTAGAGCAACAGCTATCTTACATGCTACCAAATCACCCTGCAGTTCACCTCTCAGGGTCCATCCATACTGTACTGTAGTGGTCTGCTTCTTTGTCCATTCCCCCAACTAAAAGGTCCTTCAAGAAAAAGTGAACATTTAAAAAACAAGTATTAACCCACTGGTGTTTGTTGTTCCACTGCCTAGCATAATTTTCTTAACAAATATTCATTAAATAGGTTAACTTCTGAATAAATATGAGAATTAACTGATATAAAAAAAGCACTTTGAAAGAATTTGACAGTCATTTTATAGCTAAGTTAAATAGGGTGCAGTGATTTAAGAACTTAAGTCACAGACAAAGAAGGAAAGATTGTTTGAAAATCAGCTTTAGTTAAAGGTATACCAGAAGCATGGTGATGCACTCTATCTTTCACCAGCATTTCATCAGCATAGGCCTAAATTAGACAAAGTTGTGTTCCAATCTTTTACATTTAAAATGTATTAGCAGTGGATCGTAAGAAGCTATCTAATTCAACTGAACTCCTTTTTTTTCATGTGTGAAGTTTTAATGTCTAGATCACAAACTATTAAAACAATGAAATGAGATAAATGTAAAACACACAGCTCTGTGGCTGGTACAGAGTACATCCTGAATTCAGGCTAATCTACCTTTCTTCATTTTAATTCATGGTAAAAGCCAATCAGTATAAGGGAGTCTTAGAGAGTCATCCAGCCAACGGGAATTACTAGATTCAATCCAGCTGTGTTGGGTTGGTTCATCCATTGCCACATCCAGTTTCATCATGTAAAGGAATAATGTCTCTTTTCAGTAATGGCCCTGACAGTATTTTTGCTGCCACCATGTGGCTGGTGACAGTTGATGCAGGGATCATGCTTAAGAGATTGTGGAAAAAAAAAAAAAGTCTAGAAATTGTAGCATACATGGTCTTGCTTACCATGTTCAAAAGATGTGTTAAGTGTTTGACATATACTATCTAATTTAATTAAAAAATGCTAAGTAGGTGCTATTTATATCTTCATTTTGTAAGCGGCCACTGATCACTGAGGTTAGGAGGAGACAGTACCTTCCCTGTCTATGGAACTAGTAAGTGATAGAGTTGTACAATATTTGAATTCAGAGAAGTCCCATTTCAGGGCATAAATACCAAACCATAATGTTTTATTTTCTTTCTAAATGGTGTTCCACTAAAGATTGGAATCTGAATTATTTAGAAAAATACTTGAACCAACTGTACAACTTTCGAAGCACCCAAATGAAAAATGCCGATTCCTTTCCCTTCACTTATTTGGGTGTGTTCTCTCAGTGTATATGTTGTTTTTCTAAAAGTAGTTTGTCCTTTGTTATCTCAGCTTTGTGTCACAGAAGGCTTTACATTCCCACAACCCAGTGAATATTTATAAAGGAGACATCAAATCAATGTGTTAACAATTTTAATTTATACTTCTGTAAGCAACTGACAGATCTCTGTCTTGTTCTTACATCCATTTAAGAGCCAAAGGTAATCCTTATTTATAATTCATGTTTGATCTTAATCTCAATTCTCCTAGGACAATCTTTAAGCTTTACTTTGTAAGATTTCCCCCCTTCTCACCCCATCACCTCACCCGTCCCTACCCCATACTTCTATCTGCACCTTTTGCTACAAGGTAGCAGGGTCAGGGGTGGGAGCATATATGAACTCTGGACTCAGAACCGTCAAATTCTGGCTTAGCCATGTACTATCGATCACATACTATTGATGAATTGCCGAGATATTTAATGAATTTCCCTTAGCTTCAGTTTCCTCATCTCTAAATTGAACATAAGAACACAAGGCTAAAACTTGCCCCTGATTAAGTGGCCAATAGATAGTTGCTGATAGTTGCTCTCCCCTCCTCTAGCACAAAAACCCAAGTTGGATTCACATAGGGTCACACACAATCCATCTGTTTCTACACTTCACAATCACAGTCCCAGAATTAATCTCTTTCTGTCTGGGAATATTCCTGATAACCCACTTTTTGAAAATATATTAAACAATAGTGCTGGCTCTATATTTAAGATATTCCTCTTTAGTGATGAATAGGGCATCTTTAAAATGTATCTTAAGTAAAAGAAGAAACATTTCAAAAGTTACCCAAAAAAACCCCACCACAATTTAATCTTCTCCAGGCCTATATAATCTGAAACAGACAATGGCACCCATCTTGGAGATACAGATTAACTCAACAACCTCTGAAGGAAGTGGCAGTGGCATACTCAACCTGTTAGGTGGTGAACTGAAGTCCTTATTAGCACAATAAGAAGAATATGGTATGTACACACACACACACACAACTTCAAGTAATGCAACATAACTGAAAACTGTCAGTAGATTGTCCTAGCAAAGAAGTAGCACTGGTGAATAATTTCAAATAAAGATAGAGTGTAACGCAGCAAATATCAATCACATGGATAAAAAATGATAACGGGTAACATCTGCCCATCTAGTTTATAGCACAGTTAATATAAGTATGTGGTCTGGAGTCAGATTGCCTGGGTTTAAGAACCACACCCATATCTTAATAGCTATGTGATGGGCAATATTTTATTTCTCCATACCTTAGTGTTTTCATCTGCTATACGGAAATAATAGTGCTTACTGGCTGGGCACAGTGGCTCACACCTGTAACCCCAGCACTTTGGGAGTCCGAGGCGGGAGGATCACCTGAGGTTGGGAGTTCGAGACCAGTCTGAACAACATGGAGAAACACCGACTCTACTAAAAATACAAAATTAGCCGGGTGTGGTGGTACATGCCTGTAATCCCAGCTTCTCGGGAGGCTGAGGTAGGAGAATGGCTTGAACCCGGGAGGCAGAGGTTGAGGTGAGCTGAGATCGTGCCACTGCACTCCAGCCTGGGCAACAAGAGTGAAACTCTGTCTCAAACAAAAACAAAAAACAAACAAAAAAATACTTACCACATGGGGTTTGTGTAAGGCTTGAGATAATACAAATAAGTCAGCTAGCACAGTGTCTAACACTTAAGAATTCACTAAATGTTAGTTCTTATGCACATTAAGACAAATGGGATTGATAATCTCGTTTTAGAGAAGGCATTGTTTTAGTTACTTAATAATCACTGACTCTCAAGAAAGAATATAAATGACAAAAAATTCTTCTTAGTGTGATATACACTACTCATCTAATCTATCAGATTATTTTAAAAGTTGCAGAAGTAGAATTTGCATAGGAGACTGACTAAAATATTATTAAACATGATGATGAGAAATACATATTCAAATCTTGACCTGACTAAATCCTCATTGAGGTCCATTTATCCCTTTGCCACCTGCTTGCTCCACAGAGATGGCTGGTATAAATTGGTGCAGGCTGCTCTGTGGCTGTCATTCACATACACACACTATCCTCAGGAGTGACTGAGAAGTAACTTGTGCATGACAAGCAACCTCAGGGACTATAACTTAGATCTGAAATAAACAAATTAATACCTTGAGCCTGTTACAGGCTCTTCAAATTGCATATTTAGATTCTATGAACACAGCAGGGTAAAGATACAGCATCCCGGATCCACCTGATAGCATCGGGACTTTGGCCCACATGTGGCTCACTGGTGATTACGTATGTGAATGAACAGCTTGGAGGGGAAACCCTGGATTTTGAAACATTATTTCACAGTTTATAGCTTGCTCAATGGCAAAAACATTAAATTGCACATTTTAAGGTCATATCTGAAGGATTAGTTTCACTCTCTTCCAATACTTAAATTAATTACCATAAACTATGAATGAATTGAACATTAGGGAATAGCCTACTTAGTATTTTAAACAGAACATGCTGCAGAGTCAAATTCCAAATCCTAATTTGCTTGTACAACTCTAATGCTGAGCAAATGATGAAATTCCTTAATGTCTGTTTATTGTAAAATAAAATCCAGTTAGTAATAAAGAAAAAAAAATGAGTACAGAATCAAATTCTTGGAGTCCAAGCATATTTCATCTCAAATAGCAAATGGACACCTTCTTTTTGCATTGTACTGCGATTCATATTATGACAAAATAGTCAATACTTGGCTCTTAGAAAACGTTTCAGCCTTTATATTTTTTTTAAGCACGAAAAAGTAACTAAGCACGATGCTTCCTCCCTTTACAAGAGTATGGATTTAAAACTAAATTAAATAAATATGAACTCTGATATTTATTGTTGTTGATTTTAAAGCATGGGGAGAAAAATGGCCAAATATGATCATTGCTACCTACTAGGGCCATGCTTACTTACATCATGGTGAGTTGCTCAGGGTGGTAGGGACCTAGGAGCAGCTACTGTCAGACTCACTCAATCCTACTGCCTTTAAAAAAATTCCTGACATAAAGTATACTTAGTTCTCTTGAAGCATGTATATAGTCTAAGGGAGATTCTTTGGCTCCCCTCAAAACTCTCCATCCAGGCTTTGCCTAAAGCATTCACAGTATGATTTTAACAGGAACAGTCTCAGGCATTTCTCACACAGCATCCACTATGTTATCCACCACCTGCCTATCCTGGAGTCACAAAATAGGCCTCTCTGAAGGAGTTTGAGGTACTAGAGTCCTGGGTGTTTGGTTTCTTTGTTTCACTAGTAGAAGCGTTTCTTTCTTTTATTATTGAGTTAATCATCTTGGTAGTATATGATCACAGCCCTTCCCAGACAAGACAAAATGGGGAAAGCCAAGGAGAGTACCAAGTGAGAGGCTGTATGAAAAGGTATCAGAGAAGACTTTGTAGAAGACATTGGAAAAAGCAAGTGTCAGGTTAGGAAAGGTGGGCATAGCAGTGAAATAACATGACCAGGCTCCAGGGACACACCACCACTCAGGTGTCACGGAGATTCTCTCTGTGTCCTTTCTGGATAGCTCCCTTTCCCATCCCTAATTTCTTTTGCCTTATTTTGCCTGCTGCATTACTTCCTAGTCTGGATTTGAGTAGAAGAAAAAGGAAACAAAATTCCCTAAAATTACTTCACCAAAGTGATTTTATAGGACTTCTAGTCAGATTACTTCTTGAAGATATCAAATTTTAATTTATAAAAATAGTAAGTAATATAAGACCTGGTTTTTATCTATTGAAAAAAAGTAGGGTTCTGATTTATAAGCCATCTCAATCTCTGCTCATTTTCTCTGTATGAAAGAAGATTACTTCTTAAAATTTCCTTAGTTTCTCCTATTCATCTTAGAGTTGAGACATAAAGGAAAAAATAAAAAAGGGAATGAATGATTCATGGATAAAGGAGTTAAAAAATCAAGGGAGCAAAAATGATAAAACAATGAGTATGTCACAAATGATATTGAGGAGAATGCCAGCTGAAGGAACACCATATTCAAAATACTACCACGTAGCTTTATCTTATTTAGTTTCTGGTTACACAATGACACCAAAAGCTTTTAGTTTTGAAAATTACTCATGCCACAATTAAACCAAAACAGGTAAGTGACTAATGGCACAATTCAAGGGAAGAAGGGACCATGCAAGTCATACAAAAATTGTCATGAAGACTGAATTCAGGCAGTGGAGAAATACTGAAGGGTCTTCCACCAGAAAATGATATTATTTTAAAATCCTCACTAAGACTTTTGTGAAAAATAAATCAGAAAGAGAAAGACTGAATTCTGCAAAACCAGTCAGAAGGCTGTAGCAGAAATGTATACAATATTTATACTGGGAGTCTGGGAGATGGTAGTCTGGAAGACAGGGGTGGCAGTGGGGCTGAAGAAATGTAACTGGATTTGAGCTGGGTTTAGAGAAAAAAAATGGACAGGATTTAGTAAATGCAGAGTCAAAGCAAGAGTTAAAGATGACACCCAATTCTGACTATATAACAAAGAGAATAAATTGATTGGAATAGGGATAAAAAAGTACCAGCAGAAATTCTAAGGAAAATAAAATCAATTGGGTTTGAATGTGTTGAGTTTGAGCCATCTTAGAGACATTCAGGTGGAGATATCAACTAAGTTACTGAATATATAAATCTGGAGGTCAAGAAAAAGTATCTGCTTTTGGGAAAAGATACAAGTTTAGGAGTCATTAGCAAATACATGGATCGGAAAATCATGGCAGAAGATGAGATTGCCTGGGATTGGTACAGACTAACATAAGGGACCTAGGTCAAGATCTATGCATATGCCTTCTGCCTTGCATGCTGTCTTTAAGACCACTAAGGTTTGGTTCTGGCCCCAACACTGTCCAAGACATAGTAAAGTATGCATGCATCATTTTATTCAACTTCATTGCTAAACTATTGTTTCTGTAACTCATGAATACTATTTATATAATCAAAAACAATTCCCCCATATAGTTGTTTTTAAAATGAACAGTAGAAGCTATTCCCATATCCGTTTTCCACAGTTTACAAAAATACAAGAGTTCACATAAGTCATTTACATGAAGGGTGAAAATGGGGTAAAAAATTAAAAAGTGAGTGTTTCTGCATAATCTTTCCATTTTTGTGAAGATTGGAGTGTTCTGTCCTGCTGGTGTATTTTAGGGGAAAAATCCCATCATAATTTCAGAGTGCATAATGGGCTCATTCTTTTTGCTCACACATGTGAAATAGGTTTGCAGCAATTTCTCTGTCTAGTTATACAATACATTGTTTGGCAGCCACATTTTGTATGTTAATTTATGACATTTCCCCATACATTTTCCAGGGTGTAGTCAGAAAAAAATTCTTTATATACTAAAAAATAAAAGGATCTTAGCAATGCCATCAATCCAATTACACTTCATAGCTCAGGTACCGAATCACTGTGTGTAAAAAACTTTTAATAATTTCAAAGGATCTGTGGCAAATATAAAAATAATAAACATGTGAAAAATGTTTCCCAAGTTCTACTAAAGTATGTACTTTTTAATGTATTTTGTACTACCTATTTTTTATTAACCAAAAACTTTTATGTTAATACTCAATTTCAGAGAGAATTTTTGAAGACTACATTAAATCTTACAATAAAGCATTTATTTGGCCAGTTCGGTAGACTTAGATTGAACTAAAAGCAAGATGAAGTAATGGCATACATGATCATATGTTGGTAATTAAGTCAACCACCATATTAGTATAAAACTATAAAATAAAAACTTTTAAGACTGTACAATGGGGAATATTTTTCACATTTTGTTAGATTTCATTTGCTGATAAAGTCATAAAAATGTTACTAGATTTTTTGTTGTTACCATTTAGAGGTACTCTTCTAAAAAGTTAATTTTGTAGCTTTTGTTTGTTTGTTTGTTTTTGTTTTTTGAGACGGAGTCTCGCTCTGTCTCTCAGGCTGGAGTGCAGTGCAGGCTGGAGTGCAGTGCAGTGGCGTGATCTCGGCTCACTGCAAGCTCCGCCTCCCGGGTTCACACCATTCTCCTGCCTCAGCCTCCTGAGTAGCTGGGACTACAGGTGCCCGCCACCACGCCCGGCTAATTTTTTTTTTTTTTTTTTTTGTATTTTTAGTAGAGACGGGGTTTCACCGTGTTAGCCAGGATGGTCTTGATCTCCGGACCTCGTGATCCGCCCGCCTCGGCCTCCCAAAGTGCTGGGATTACAGGCGTGAGCCACTGCGCCCGGCCAATTTTGTAGCTTTTTATGACAACATGAAATTAATACTTTTTCCATTAGGTTAAATATAATAACTTACTCTTAAAAGAATAAGAATGAGGGCCGGGTGCGGTGGCTCATACCTGTAATCCCGACACTTTGGGAGGCCAAGGTGGGCGGATCACGAGGTCAAGTGATCGAGACCATCCTGGCCATCATGGTGAAACCCCGTCTCTACTAAAAATAAGTAGTCCCAGCTACTCGGGAGGCTGTGGCAGGAGAATCCCTTGAACCCAGGAGGGGGAGGTTGCAGTCAGTGAGCCAAGATAGCGCCACTGCACTGCAGCCTGAGGACAGAACGAGACTCCTTTAAAAAAAAAAGAGGTAAGTTAAGCCCAATGTGCGTATAATTTAATGCATGTTTGTGAAGGTTCAATATTTGTTTCATAGTTCTGGAACTACTCAACATATATCCAACTAACTGAAATGTAGAACATCTTGCTCTCCTTTAGTTAGCACGTGGAATTAAAATTAAACCAGTTTTTGGGGTAATAAGCAACAGCATCAATTTTATCTCTGAGATGTGTCTTCAGATGGGAACACAGGAAATGTAGTATTGAAGTACGTACTCATTTATTTTAATTCCAAGTGGCATATGAGTCAGAGGTCTAATACATAAAATACAATAATAATAGCATGTTTATATAATTTTTATCATTTCATTATTTAATATTATATGTAGATTATTCATTTTCCAATTTATGACACTTCACAAATATCAATCACCACTTCCAAACATTTGAACAAAGAAGCAGCATAAAGAGAAATAATGTTTTAAAACTGTATTTAAGATGAATATGGCTAAAAATTCAGTTTGTAAATAAGCAATGCAGATATCAAAGTAAGATTTATGCATAGCTTCCCCCTTTTCTTCAATCTTGATGCATTTTCAAATGTCTATGTGAGTTTCAATAATTGAATTAAATGTGCCTCAATCTTCTCTTCTGTACAGTATTTATTCCACAGATATTAAATGGATTTAATCAGGTAATAATATAAATCTCAAAGAAAAGTGATTGATACATAGTAAGCAGTCAGCAAATCACAACTTTTATTACCTGTAATGTAATCATTATCTCCTTTCATCCATTTCATCCCTATTCTTATTAGTGTCTTAATCATTCTCTCATTCAGGAATGGCACTAAAGAACTCTTAGATAAATAATTCCAACTATCTGTTTTATTACACACACATAGAATCTGGCACAGAGTAGGTGATCCCTCCAAAAAGACTGTCATTAAATGAAAAAACAGAAGAAGCTAATATTTACTTGATGATTATACTTGTGTCAGCTTACACCATGTGCTGACACTATGCCAGGTATGTACATAAATGTTCATGTATTCCTGATGAAACCTCATGGTATGTCATTATATTCATGTTGAAGCTGAAAAACAGTTAAGATGAAGGTGTTTATGAAACTTCCCACTGGTCATAGTTAAACGATAGTGCAGCTATGGTTGAAACTCAGGTCTATCTAGTTCAAAATTTTATTTTCCCATTATATTACATTATCTTTCCACAGATCTCATTAGCATCTCAAAAACTCTATATCTTAATATATTCTTACAGATTTCTTTCCAGAGAGAAACTTTACAGGCAAGGAAAGAGGCCAGACATAAAAATTACCATGTTACAAAGACATCCATATAAATTAAGGTTTCTCTTATTGAGAGAACTTGAGAGTAGGAAGATAAATCTTACCCTGATCTTACTTCTCTGTTCCTCTCAACACTACATTCTAAACAATACCTTCTCTTTCTTTGCTCCATGTTTTAAAAATAATGACCTATTTTTTTCATATTCTTGCTTTTTTTTTAAACCTTAGCCTCTAAATAATCAAAAACAATCTGACTTCAAGCTTCTATGCAAACTAATACAATCTCAAAGTTTCTCAATCCAGCCTACTGTGAGATAAAATTAGGAAAACTGTTCAAATGTACTATAGCACTTATTTAGACCAGTGATAGCAGCTTTTTCATTTTCACATTTATTAAATGCCATGTGACCGTCATACAGATCCAAAAAATATATCTTGAATGATTTAATGAATTAATTGGAATTAATATTTAAAATGATGACATGGAGGATGTGTAGGCTCATTTATAAAAGGTCAAATAATGTTCAATATGCTGCACTTAGTAAAAATGGATAGTTAAATAATGAAACCATAATATTCAGTAATGACTTGAAAGTGATTCCTGAGTTAACCTTTTAACTTCATTTTAACAAGAAAATTTGGTTAAGCAAAGTAACCGATTAGCTAGGCATTACAGTTGAGTAAAATTTGCACTGTAATTGCTTTATTCTTATACTTTAACTCTCTCTGCCAAGATTAGAGTAGGATTGAGGCAACTGTCATCAATGAAAACAGCAATATTGAGCCTCTTTCGGAGTACTCATGATGTCACTGCTGCAACTGTGACAGGTCCCTGGAAATTCTGTAAGATGACAAAAAGGATTATCAGGTGATCCTTGTTCTGAATCCATTATACAGTAACTGTGCTTCCATAAGTGGGAGTATCTTAGAGAAGAGACTACATAATTAAAGTTGATCCCTAAATGACAAGGGGGTTGGGACATCTACTCCTCACAAAGTTGAAAATCCACATATAACTTTTGACTCCCCTAAAATTTAAATACTAATAGCCTACTGTTGACCGCAAGACTTACTGATAACATAAAGTCAATTAACACATATTTTGTATGTTATATGTATTATATACTGTATTACTACAATAAAGTAAGCTAGATAAACAAAATAAAATGCTATTAAGAAAATCATAAGGAAGAGAAAATATATTTACTACTCCTTAAGTGGAAGTGAATCATCATAAAAGTCTTCATCCTCATTGTCTTCATATCAAGTAGGCTGAGGAAAAGGTTGAAGAGGTGGAGTTGATCTTGCAGTCTTAGGGGTGGCAGAGGTGAAAGAAAATCCATGCAAAAGTGGGCCCAGTAGTTCCAACTTCTATTGTTCAACTGTCATTTGTATTCTATATCCTTTCATAAAGTATTTATTGAGCACCTACTATGTGCTAGACATTGTTCTAAGTGAGTGGGATACACGAGTAATCAAGAAAGATGAACTTGCCATTTTGCAACTTTACATTCTGACATGAGGAGACCATAATATAACAAACAAACAAGACATTTTGCAACTTTACATTCTGACATGAAGAGACCATAATAAAACAAACAAGCAAATTACAAACTACATTAAAAGATAATATATGCTATGGGAAAAAAGAAAAACTAGTAAAAGGTAAGGGGATTGTGAGTACTTGAGTAGCGATGGATGAAGGCTGCTATATTAAATAGGTTGCCTAAGTTAGACCTTGTTAAGAAAGTGTTATCCAAAGAGTGGCTTTACATGAGGTAGGTCATTTTGTAAATATATGAGGGCCAAGTGTTAGGAATGCTAGCCAGCCAGGGTTGCTGCACAAAATGAATAAACAAGGCAACTTAGAGATGGTAATGGGCAGTTAGCTCTTGTAGGTAATTGCAAACCCCTGTCTTTTACTTTGAGTAAAATGGAGGACCACTGGAACTTTTTGAGGAGTCACATGATCTGTATGGCCTATATGTTTAAAGATGACCACGGCTACTCTGTTAAGGATTGTAAAGATACTTGTATAGGAGCAGAGAGCTGGGTTGAAAGAAGATGACGACCTAGGCCAGGTAATAGCTCAGTTGAGAGAAAACGATGACTTAGGCCAGCATAAGAGCCCAGTTGAGAGAAGGTGATGACTTAGCCCAGGGTAACAAGAGTTCTTTGTTCCAATTTTTAAAAAATTTTGGGGAAATACATATAAAATATTACTATATTTACCATTTTTAAGTATACAGTGTAGTGGTGTTAAACACATTCATAATGTTGTACAATCATCACTATCATTCATCTCCATAACTCTTTTTATCCTTGAAACTGAAACTCTATATCCACTGAACAATAACTCTCCACTCATCCCGCTGCCAAGACCCTGGAGGTTACCATTCTACGTTCTGTCTTTATGATTTTGACTACTTAAGTACCTCATATATAAGTGTAATCACACAGTATTTCTCCTTTTATGAATGGCATAATGTCCTCTTGGTTCATCCATGTTGCAGCATGTGCCAGGATTTTCTTTTTTTCACCTTCGATCTACTTGTGTCTTTGGATATAATGTGAGTCTCTTATAAATAGCATATATTTGAATCACTTTTAAAAATCTATTCTGTCAATCGCTTTTGATTGGAGAGTTTAAACTGTTTACATTTAAAGTAATTACAGTTGGCCCTGCATATTCACAATTCCACATCTATTAATTCATTAAACCATAAATTTAAAAAAATTGAAAAAATAAAATATAATAATATAAAATAACACAAATAATATCCAATAAAGTATAACAATAATTTACATAGTATTAGATATTATAAATTATATACATGGGATAAGTTATTATGAGTAACCTAGATATCATTTAAAGTATATGTGAGAATTGCATAGGTTGTATGCAAATACTAGGCCATTTTAAATAAGGAACTTGAGCATCCGAGAATTTTGGTATTTGCGGGGGGGGGGGGGGTCCCAGAACAAATCCTCTGAAGATTTCAATGAAAAACTTTACTGATAAGGAGAAATTTACTTCTGTCATTTTGCTACTTGTTTTCTACATGTTTTATAGCATTTTTGTCCCTCATTTCTGGCATTATTGTCTTCTTTTATGTTTAGTTCATTTTTTTTGTAGTGAAGTATTTAAATTCCTTTCACATTTCCTTTTGTATATATTCTATAGCTATTTTCTTTGTGACTGCCATGGGCATTACATTTAATATCTCAAAATTATAACACTCTAATTTGAATTTATACCAACTTAATTTCAGTGACACACAAAACTCTGCACCTTTACAGCTTTATACCTGTTTCCATTGTTGATGTCACAAAATTACATCTTTATATATTATATGCCCCAAAACATAAACTAATAATTATTTAAGTACACTAATCTCTTTAATTATATAGTAAAAAGTGAAGTTACAATTTTACCAGCTTTTAAACCATTTAAAAATGTTATTAGTCTCTCAAATCTGTAGAAAATAAAAAAATGGAGCTACAAACCATTGTTAAGATAATACTAGCTTTTATAATTGCTCTTTATTTACCTTTATTAAGATCTTTATGTCTTCATCTGGCTTCAAGTTACTGTCTAGTGTCTTTTAATTTCACCCTGAAGGACCCCCTGAAGCATTTCTTGCAAGGAAGGTCTAGTGGCAATGAACTCTCTCTGAGCTGTTGTGTGTGTGGGAATGTGTCAATGTATTACTTTTAAAGAACAGTTTTGCTAGATATAAGATTCTTGATTGACAGTATTTTCATTTTAGCACTTGAGATATATTTTCCCACTGCCTTCTGGTCTCTATAGTTTCTGATGAGAAATCTGCTGATAGTCCTATTAAGTATACCTGTGTGTAACAAGTTGCTTCTCTCTTGCTGCTTTCAAGATTCTCTTTGCCAGGGGATAATGGTTGGGAGATGGATAGCTACTACTGTGCTAACAGTTGAAACGGATCAAAATTAATGGCAATTTACTACTCATGGCTTCCCCTGGAATTTGCAATACTTCAATAGGCTTCAGTAGTTACAGAATAGTTACATCAGACAGATTCTGCAACTGCAATTGTTGTCTAGGTAGGAAGACAGATTTCTGGTGCCTCCTACTTCATCATCCTCCCACAGTCCCTTCTTAAATTCATGGTATATTTTGAACATAAGACTACTAAGTTTGCCTGGCACATTGGATAGAATGTGCAGGAGAAAGAGAGGAGTGAAGGGGGTGTCCATGGTTTTTGACATGACCAAGTAAAAGGATCAGGTGCCGTCACCAGCTGAGACAGTGTAGATGACAGGTAGAGTAGAAACGGGGTAAGAAGAATACTGGTTGAATCTGAGATATCTAGATATCCATATGTTGATGTCAAGTGGGCAGTTTCAAGTAAGTAAGTCTTGGAGAGAGGTCTTGGCTGGATCAGAAACTTATGTAAGGGCATGGCACAAGTGACGTCACAAATTTGTAGACAGAGAAGAGCACCATAGATAATCCCTAGGGAACTTAAATACTATTAAGTTGCGTGGAAGAGTAGAAACCAGCAAACTAGGCTGACAAATACAAGCAGTTTTGCAACAGGAGATAAAAATAGTCTTGTCCTGGAAGCCAATGAAGACAATGCTCAATAATAGTTAAAGACAGACTTTAATTCCCGTGATTTCTTTATTGCTGCAGAGGCAAAACCAGCACCAGTGGAAACTTACAGGAATAAGGATCATATTTCAATGAGGAAATGGAAAAACTGAACAGCAATGTCTACACAATATGCTCAATATTAGATCCAACTGGTTTATGAGGCATTGAACTTTCTTTTCAATTCTAGAATTATTCATATACAGACTGATGAGTAGCACAAATACTGTAGAAATGATTCCTAAATTGGGTAGAACATTTAGCCGTATGACCTATGAGACACACTCCCAACTAATGAGTAGTTTATTTCTGCCTCACTTAGCACCAGAGGAGAAATACATCTGCTTTTCCGTCTGTGGGCCTTTGAAATCTTAGCAGTCTGTGTCCACAATTATCTCAATGCCTCCTCAGATAAAAGAAAGTGAATTATACAATGGTTTAATGCAAAGAGGATCTTTGGTGCAGACAGACCCAGGTTCAAATGTTAACACGATCATTAATATATTGGGGGGCTTTAGGAAAACCACTTACATATTTTTAAGCCTTACTCTCTCCTTTAGAACACTCACAATGTACTTCAGAAAAGAAAATAGCAGTTCATTCTGCTTTTCTCAGTGTCTGACATATACAGGGTAGTCATAAAAACTGTAATTCTCTTAAGTGTGAGGTCCCAGGTTTAAGGACTATTTTACAATGTTTTAAAGTTAAGTCATTCCTCTAAGCTTGAGTTTTAGACTATGCTCTTAATTTAAGCACCATATCTACTCATAAACCAGAAATAAAACGTGCATTTTTTTTCATAAAGACAAAATCTGAATGTGGTTTTTACATTCATAATAGATTTTGATGGGTTTTGGAGTCATGTCTGGGGTTAAATTTTCTACTGCACGTTTTAAGATATGATATGCTTAAATTATAATAAGGAACTATATGATGTAATGAGATAAAGGCAACAGGCTGTAAACTTACTAATGTTATTATTTTAGCAAGTCAGTTCCTATGAGAGTTTATATAAAATGGGAAGGATAGTATTATTAGAATTTTTGTGACAATCAAATGAGTCATATGTAAAAACTATAAGGTATTCGGCATATAGACAACACATAATAATTCTTAGTTTTAATTATTTGTTCCTCCATTCTAGGAAAAAAAGCCTCTACATAGAACCAATTTTTCTACATTAATTGCTTTACATTAGCCCAAACTATTTTTAAAATGTCTTTATCATTAGGAAAGTAACATTAATAATAACTAATTCAAACAGCACAAAAATGCCTGCAATAAAAAGGGAACCCCCTTTTACTTCAAATTATCTGTCTTACATTTATTTATATGTAAATGTATGCACATGTATACACATGCATGTATACCTTTTATACTCAAGGGGAACAAACTCATTTGTTTCATGTAACAATATGTATTTTTACAAATATATAATTCTAACATAAATTGCTAGATATGCAACTGCTTTCAAAAGTCTGTGCCTTTGTGATATTAATTAATTTTGCAAAATTGCCCTCTAAAATACTTGAGTCTATACTCTCTGACCAAGACACTATGAAGTGAAATTTTCCGCATGCCCTAAAATCATTATTGATTATAATCCAAACTTATCAGTCTGATAAAGAGCAGCAACATCTCAAATTAATCATAACTTGTATTTTTCTAAGTGAGGTTCACATTTTTTTGAAATTTCCCTTACACTATACATGTGTGATAGGAACATTAGCTTCTTGTTCAGTTAGAAATATGAATTCTTCTGTATAGAAAGGCATGGATTTTCTGTCATGTGTTTCAAATATTCATATACATTTAGAATTTTCTTTTTGATTTTAGTAATTAATTATCAACATGACTTTCCTTGTGCAGAAGTTTTAAATTTATGTTTTAAAATAATTTATTCATTTACTTATGGCTTCAGTCATTTCAATCTTTTTTTGGAAACACTTTCCCCCGATTAAACTTTATGAAATAAAATTGCCCATAACTCATTCTAGTACATTTATTTATTTATTTATTTATTTATTTATTTATTCATTGGCGCTTAATTTTAATTAGACACAGAATTTTTTTTGGTGTATGAGATAAGATAGGGATCTGGTCTTCCTTTTTTTTTTTCTCCAATTGTCTTACTGGTTATCTCTCTAACACTTTTTCAATAAATTATTTATTCATATTGTTGTTAATATATACTAATTACATGCGTCCATGTTTATTTAATAAGAAATAGAAACTTGGCTTTATTAAATGCATCTTCTGATCTAAAAATTAGTGAATTTGTTTAAATATTTTTAAAAACTAAATCAATCTTGCATTCCTGAAATGAACTACATTTGAGTGTAATTTACTATGCTGATAGATGTGTGCTACTAAAATACATTTGGTAATATTTTTGAAATATTTCTTATTATTGTAAAATAGACAGCATAAAATTTACCATTTTAACTATAATAAATATATATCACTGTCATTATTATTTTTAGAGACAGGGTCTATATTACCTAGGTTGGACTTGAACTTCTGTGTTTAAGTGATCCTCCAGCCTTAGCCTACCCAGTAGCTGGGAAGTAGCTGCATGTCACTATACCTAGCCCATTTTAACTAATTTTAAGTGCACGAATACGTGGCATTAAGTACATTCACAATGTTATGCAACTATCCACTTCTAGAAGTTTTCATCACTCCAAACAAAAACTCGGTACCCATTAATGAACAATTTATCATTCTTTCCTCCCCACAATCCCCTGTAACCGCTATTCCACTTTCTGTCTCTATAAATTCACCTGTTCTAGGAACTTCATGAAAGTAGAATCATATATTTGTTCTTTTTGACTGGTTTATTTTATTTAGCATAATGTGTTCAATGTTCATCTATGTCGTAGAATGTAATAGAATGTAATGAAATTCTATTATTCTAATAATTATAAGGCTGAATAACATTCCATTATATGTGTATACCACATTTTATTTATCTACTAGTTTGTTGAGGATATTTGGGCTGTTTTTATCTTTCGGCTATTGTGAATAATACCTCTATGAACAAACACTAATGCTCAACACTTGGTAATATTTTACAGTTTTCCAATTGGTATTCACAAGTGAGGTTGTTCTACAGTTTTATTTTTTGTGACATCCTTGTGAAACCCATATATTTTTAAGAAGGTTCTTTATAAAATGGCATAAATCTGAAATTGTGTATTACATAAATTTATGTTCACAATGGTTTATCTTAAAAATGAAAATAAAAGTTACTCCTAATTTCTCTACATGGATCCAAATGTCTTTCAACAAGTTGGCTGCAGTCAGGTCCTAACTTAATAAAAGTATTAATAATCCCTTATCTACATGTTTCTGGGTAAAAAGCATTAATTTTTACTTCCTTATTGCTCATAGAAAGTTTTATTTTTCTCCGAATCCCCCAAAATACAGTATTTAAGTTGATATCAAATTCACTTGCTTCCACTTTTCAAAATCAATAATAAAATGGAAATCCATTCCATTGATAATGCAATGTCTCTTGATTATAATGGTGATATTTCTTTTCTGATCTCTTAAACATCTGTCTACATAAAAAGCCACTCCTACTGCAACAACAAAAGAAATAGCAGAAGATCCATCCGTGAGCTAATGAGTGTAGAGAAGCTTACTGAAGGCTCACTGAGTTAAACAAACAAACAAATGAACAAACAAACAAATGAAGAATGGCAGGATTGTAGAGAGGGCCATGAGATGAAAGATTTTTTGGCTGTCATGGGGCCCTAAAGAAAGAATACGGGTTTGGACATTTTTCAAAAAGCACCTGCATTTTAATGGTCCTTTTGAAGCAGTCTTCAGTTTTCCAGTTGAGGGTAAATGTGAAAATAAGAAGCAACCCTCCCAAATAAGGTAGAAAATATTGGCCTGAGGTATGAGAAGGAAAGGGCTAGGGGTTTTGTTGCAGAATGAAAACAACTAGTTAAAACAGGCTGAATATTCACTAGATGTAGAAAAGAAGGAGAGACTGGTATGATTTCAGGAAAATCAAGGACATATTCGTAAGGGGTCATAAAAAATGATGTGAGTAGAAGCACAACTAATTCGGAATTAGAAATGCATGACTCAATGTGGGATGAAAACATAAAAATTAAAAAAATACAAAATGGAAAAATAATATTTGAAGTACATGGGTTGGGCATTAATTAAAAGGATGGGTAATCAGAAAAGACAAATTCTAGACATAATACCACTGAAAATTTCTAAATTTTTCTAGAAAACAGGATTATTTCAAATGCCATTCTATTGGAGAGAATATGGTCTACAGCAATTTGAATTTTTTTTCCTCATAAAAATGTGAATCAGTGTCATATCATTTTCTCAATTAAAATTTAAATTCACAAATGAGGAGTTGGGAAACTGATATGAATGAAACTGAAATCACAAAGCCCATCAAATCCTCTCTTCCATTTACTTTAGAAAAATAAAAAGCAATGCTGTGCAGTGGTCTGTGGTAAAGATAAAACAGGTTTAAGCTGTAAGCTACAGAGTGGCTTCTGAAAAACCATATTGCTTACAAAAATAGACATGTTTCCAAGATTATAAGTGGCTATATTTGGCTTTGAGTCGTAGTTTCCATAGGAGTCGTAGTTTCCACATTTAGGAACTATTCTTAAATGATCTGATAACTACTTTAAAAGTCAGAAAAATCACACTCATCAAGTACTTGGACTTGGGTATTTCATCTTTTGATGTATAAAGAAGGAAACGCACACTCTGTGGGAAGACATGGAAAGTTGCAACCGAGGATGAGACTTCTTCCAACCAAGCACAGAAGGCTGCCCCTTTTTCTGGGACTGAACAGAATAAGAAGAAGTATAGAGCAAGTGAGATGGTTTTAAACACATTTTGGAACTTCAGTTTTCTGCATTAATCTACATAAGAAATTTATTTGAAAACCAGCACAGGGGAATGTGGCTGCATTTGATCTTAAAAAAGGCCAAATTTGGGGCAGTTTTACACTCCTGGCAATATATTGCTTTAAAAAGTTGGCAGTAACTCAAGTCAAGAAATATAAAGTGGGCCTTGGGGCAAATTTAATTGAAGAAAAGGTCTGATGTATTTCACAGAATTCTAAAAGTACATCAAAGAGATACTTTTAAAGGCACTGAGAGGCTGAATTGCCTAGGTGAACAAACAGGTACACCAGCAAGCAACAAGTAGATACCCTCTTACAAGAGGAAGCCGCACATTCCAGTCCTCTAATGGTCTCTCGGTTTACCCAGACATGTGCCAAGCATTCCTTTTGCATGTCTAGTAGTAACGAAATATAGCACAGCTTGTGCCATTTAGGTATATCTTGGTTTATTAGATCCTGCAAGGCACTTGTTTGTTGTGGCACAAGAAAAAATGGAATTTTAATCATTTCTCCAAGGGTAATAATTGTCTTCATTAATATCAACTTTATACCCTAAGCTATGTGTTTATTCTTTTGGTATCTGTAACAGCTTTGCATTTTACCACTAACTCATGATGTAATTGTATTGAAGACATTTAAAACTGCAATTAAACTCAATACACATAGTTCCTATGCTACAAACAACTTACTATAAGAAGCCAGTACCACATTCACACATGTACAGACAAAAACAGTGAGCTATGATCACTGAATGCCTGAAAGACATTGTATTATGATGCTGACTGTAATATGCACTATAGGTGGAGATGTTAAAATTTGAAAGAAATGGTATATTCAACAATGAAACATAGTATGTGTGGAGAAGAAATAGCTAATGTTAAGAATAGTGTTTGTTCTCCAGTCATATATATATATATATATATATATATATGTATACATGAATATAAATATATACACATTTATATTTATATATACACATATATGTGTGTATATATACATATACACACATATATGTGTGTATATATACGTACACATATATGTATATATGTATATATACGTATACATATATGTATATATATGTATATATACACACACACATATATATGTGTGTATATATATTTCTTTTTAACTGCTCCTTGCAAAGCTGGGCTAACTCATAGGCAGTGCGCCTAGAATCAACCTCCAGAGTCTTTTACATGAATGTCTTAGGAATATGGAGGAACATATTGACAAATGTTGCCTTTGTAGAGGCTTAACTATCAAGAAATAATTGGAAATTGGGTCAAACTGATGTACTAGAAGCAAGAAGCTCATGTGTACTGCTCTCATGGAGAGGAAAGAAAAGGGCTAGTGAACACTGACCCAACGAGCTGATCACTTAAGAAATCGCTTTGGGATCCATCAAGGCAGGAAGAGGACACAGCAGAGAAGAACAAAGCTGGGCAGTAGCCCTTATGGAATCAATGTGTAGACAGGAGAAGCTCCCCATATGGGAAAGGGTAAGTGACTAGGAGTCCCATGGGAGATTCACACTCTCTTGACAGGGACCTGTGCAAGACTAGGGATGGGAAAATGCCCCGGCCCCACTGCATTACACCACACACTTCTAAACTGAGGCAGAGAACTACCAGTAGTTTTGGCAAAGGTAAGTCTCAAGTCCACAGAGGCCTCTGAAGCCTTAGACCCTGGAACAGACTAGCACCAGTGCCACAGCCCTGACGGAAGCCACAGTTGCAATGTGTGGGAGCAGTAAGATTGATCCATCCACCCTCACCAGACAAAGCTTGAGGCCAGCTTCTGTCCCAGTGGTCCCTCTTCTGCTTGAACTCAGCTAGCAGGTACAGCCTTCTTACAGTCTTAGAAAATACCCAGATAGCAGGGCAGGTGACTTCACCTACCCCAAACACTGGTAGCAATGTGCGCCACGCCTGCTAGATCTTTTAGCCCACTGTCTTACTTCTGTCCAAAATCTGTGGGAAGGCACAATCGTGTTCCCTGGGGAAGCACCCAGACAGTCATCTGACCCCACCCACTCCCACAGCACCTAGCTGAGTGGGACCTGCCAGCTTGGTTGGTGACTAAGCAGGGAGGAGCCTTCACTGAAAGAAGTGAGACACCTGTGTTCACAGGCTGGTGGAGGATCAGGGCATGTCTCCCTCCACAAGGCCAACTACAGCCTGTCTATGGACCACTGCCGCTACCTGAGAAAGCCCCATGGACCAAAACATCCAGCAGAAGAAACGCAGGGATGGAGCTTGATTGAAGGGGGCTCCTCCAAGGCCTGGGAGCAGACTGTGTGAGTGGGCCATCCCTCTCCAAAGCATCACAGAGAACTACTGCCAACTGTGCCAAAAAACAGAAGAACCACGCAGGACAGTAAGAGCCTATCCGCTGGCTAACACTCTTAAGTGCCACCTACTGGACTGTGGCCAAAAAATACAGGACTGAAATATTTTGCCAGGATATCCCAGCCAACACATGTGCACCCTGCTATACCACCATGGCTGCTGGCACATGAGAACAACCATGGATCCCACTGCCACCACCCTGATGAAGTACTTTGGCTGGCACTCCCCATCAAACAGTTGTGGCCACAAACCAGGATCACGTTATCCTCCCCAGCACAGCAGGTTCCTAAACCTCAAGGGGCCAGAGAACAAAGATGGGGACCTGGGTACCAGCCCACTCAAGGTAAGAGCATGTAGCCCAGGAGTGCAGAACTGAGCTGTGGCCCCCTGAAATATTCCAGAATCAAAGCCAGTTGACTGAACCCGCCTTATACCAAAGTCAAAATGCCAAGGGCATCAAAGAAGATAAACGCAAAAAAAAAAAAAAACCAACCAAAGGACAGTGACTTCAAATATTAAAGGACCATTTACCCACACAGAGAGAAAGAACCAGTGTAAGAACCCTGGCAACTCAAAAAACCAGAGTGTCTTCCTACCTCCAAACAACTTAATTAGTTCCCCAACAATGGTTCTTAACCAGGCTGAACTGGGTGAAATGGCAGATACAGAATTCAGGGTATGGATAGGAATGAAGATCATAGAGATTCAGGAGAAAGTCAAAATCTATTCCAAGGAATCTAAGGAATACAAAAAAAGAACCAAGTAATCTGATAGAGCTGAAAAATGGACTACAAAAATTTAATAATACAATCACAAGTATTAACAACAGAATAGACCAAGCTGAGGAAAGAATCTTAGAGCTCAAACACTGGTTGTCCAAATCCACTCAGTCAGACAAAAATTAAAAAAAAAAGAATAAACAAATATGAACAAAACCTCTTATAATATGGGATTATGTAAAGAGATCAAAACTACAACTCACTGGCATCCCTGAAAGAGAGAGAGAAAGCAAGCAACTTGGAAAATGTATTTGAGGATATTGTCCGCAACAATGTCCCCAACCTTGCGAGAGGCCAACATCCAAATTCAGGAAATGCAGAGAACCACTGTAAGATACTATAGAAGATGACCATCCCCAAGACACATAGTCATCAGATTTTCAGTCAAAATAAAATAAAAGATATTAAAGGCAGCTAGAGAAGGGGCAGGCCACCTACAAAGGAAACCCGATCTGGCTAACAACAGTCCTATCAGCAGTAACCCTGTAAGCCAGAAGAGATTGAGGGCCTATATTCATCACTCCTAAAGAAAATAAACTACAACCAATAATTTCATTTCCTACCAAAATGAGCTTCATAAGCAAAGGAGAAATAAGATTCTTTTGAGACAAGCAAATGCTAAGGAAATTCATTAATACCAGACCTGCCTTACAAGAGGACCTTAATAGAATACTAAATATGGAAACAAACGACCATTATGCACCACCACAAAAACACACTTAAGTACATAGACCATTTACACTATCAAGCAACTACACAATCAAGTCTGCATAATAACTACCTAATAACATGATGACAGGATCAAATCACACATATCCAAACTAACCTTGAATATAAATGGGTGAAATGCCCCAACTAAAAGGCACAGAACGGCAGATTGGATAAAAAAGCAAGACCCAACTGTATGTTCCTTGAAGAGACCCATCTCACATGCAATGACATCCATAGGCTCAAAGTAATGGGATGGAGAAAAATCTACCAAGCAAATGGAAAGCAAACAAACAAACCAAAAATCAGGGGTTGCTACTCTAATTTCAGACAAACAAACTTTAAGCAAACAAAAATCAAAAGAGAAAAAGAAGTACATTATATAATAGAAGGGTTCAATTCAACAAGAAGACTTAATTATCCTAAGCATATATGCATGCAACATAGGAGTACCCAGATTAATAAAGCAAATTCTTAGAGGCCTACAAAGAAACCTAGATAACCACACAACAATAGTGGGAGACTCCAACACACCACTGACAGTACTAGACAGATCATCGTGGCAGAAACTAACAAAGATATTCAGAACCTGAACTCAACACTTGGCTAAATGAACCTAATAGACATCTAAAGAACTCTCTACCCCAAAATTTCAAAATATATATTTCTCTCTGCACATGGCACTTTAAAATTGACCACACAATTGGCCATAAAACAATCCCCAGCAAACTGAAAAAAAAAAAAAAAAAAAAACCTGGAATCATACCAAGCATGCTCTTGGACCACAGCACAATAAAAATACATATCAATGCTAAGAAGATTGCTCAAAATCACAGAATTACGTGGAAATTAACCTGCTCCTGAATGACTTTTGAGTGAACAATGAAATTAAGGCAGAAATCAAGAATTTCTTTGAAACTACTGAGAACAAAGATAGAACGTACAAGAGTCACTGGGACACAACTAAAGCCTTATTAATAAGAAAGTTTATAGTGCAAAATGCCCATATCACATAACTAGGAAGATCTCAAATTAGCAACCTAACATGACACCTAGAGGAAGTAGAGAAACAAGAGCAAACCAACATCAAAGCTAGCAGAAGACAAGGAATAAACAAAACCAGGCCTGAACTGAAGGAAGTTGTAACATGCAAAAAACACAAATGTTCGCGTCCAGGAGTTGGTTCGCTGAAAGAGTAAATAAGATAAACCACTAGCTAGACTAATAAAGAAAAAAAAAAAAGAGATGATCCAAGTAAACATAAACAAATAACAAAGGGGACGTTACCACTTTAGGGATCCCACAGAAATACAAAAACCTTCAGAGACTATTAAAAACACCTCTATACACACATATGCTAGAAAACTTGGAAGAAACTGGTAAATTCCTGGACACATACAACCTCCCAAGATAGAACAAGGGAGAGACTGAATCCCTAAACAGACCAATAATGAGTTCCAAAATTGAATCAGTAATAAACAGACTACCAACCAGAAAAAGCCCAGGACCAGTTGGATTCACATCCAGATTTTACCAGATGTATAAAGAAGAGCTGGTCCCATTCCTACTGAAACTATTCCAAACTCTAACTCAGTCTATGAGTCCAGCATCATCCTGATACCAAAACCTGGAAGAGACACAAAGAAAACTATTAAAACTTCAGGCCTATATCCTTGATGAACGTAGATGCAACAGTCCTCAACAAAATACTAGCAAACCAAATCCAGCAGCAGGTTAAAAAGCTAATATTCCACAATCAGGTAGGCTTTATCCCTGAGAAGCAAGGTTGGCTTAACATATGCAAATCAATAAATGTGATTATTCACACAAATTAAAATAAAAAACCATATGATCATTTAAATAGACACACAAAATTATTTCAATAAAATTCAACATCCCTTCATGTTAAAAACCCTGAACAGACTAAGCATTGAGGGAATATATTTCAAAATAATAAGAGCCATCTATGAAAAACCCACAGCCAACATACTGAATGGGCAAAAGCTGGAAGCACTCACCTTCAAAACCAGAACAGACAGTGACACCCTCTCTCACTACTCATATTCAACATAATACTGGAAACTCTGGCCAGGGAAATCAGGCAGGAAGAATAAATAAAAGACATGCAAATAGAAAGGGAGAAAGCCAAACTATCCTTATTTTCAGATGATATGATACTGTACCTATAAAGCCCCATAGTCTCTTCTCAAAAGCTCCTAGATCTGATAAGGAACTTAAGCTAAGTTTCAGGATACAAAATCAATGTACAAAAATCAGTAGTAGCATTTCTATACACCAACATCAAAGCTAAGAATCATATCAATAATGCAATCCCATTCACAATGGCCATAAAAAAACTAGAAATACAGTTAAACAAAAAGGTGAAAGATCTCTATAATGAGAATTATATATTTATATTATAAAAATATAAAGCCAAATACGAAAAACTGCTCAAAATAATTTAATATTATAATATGACATATTTCCCCAAGTTAAATTATTAAACGTAAAGCACCAGGGCTAGATAAATCATTCTTAAAGAGCATTTTTATAATTTTTATAAATTAAATTTTAAACTTCATTCAATTTCTTGTAGCATTCAACTAAGTCAGCAGATTAACTTGAATTTGGAGAGTAACTGAAACACAATCTATCCAAAAAAAGTCATGTAGTAAAGTCTTGAGAGGGCCATTTCCCCAAGAATTCCCATAGTCATTTATTGCTCTTTGAGAGGACTGTGTCATCATCACATTAATTATTGGTACAGACAGCAGTTGTCAAGGGGAGAAATGGTTCTGAGAGAAAGCTGTATAAAAGAAGTCTTTCACCAGTGTGGCCCCCTGAAGGATAAATCACTTTTTTATTATAAAAGATTAAATTTTAAATCCATAAATACTGTTGTGTTCTGCTTAACAGCTCATAGTATTACACCACATCACATATTTTACAGATCATAAATGTACATCAAATACAGATGAAGTTTAGTGATCATAATCTTAACTATCTCACTGATATTTTTCTAAGAAGTGGAAAATGAACAGCAGGAAAAAAATCACAACTTTTGTAATAAAATATGGTTTGTTTTCAAAAGATTATTAAATATAATAAGACATAGTTTGTTTTCAAAATATTATGATTTATTGTTGTACTATAAAAACCAGAACAAGGTAGGTCAACTTTGATAAGCGAGTATAAATCTGCTTCTCAGAATTTCACTCTTTTTCTATCAAAAAGCTCTAAAGTTATCTTATGTGTGATAATTAGGTGAAATGAATATTCCTTTAAAAATAAAGGAGTTTGGCAGGCTATTCATAAGTTAAAGAAATGGTAAATTTTCTCAAGCATGAATTGTTATTTGAGACTATCCCATAAAACTATTATATTAAACATCAGGTGTTATCATTTTTCACATTCTTCCACACTTAACATGAAAAAGTAATGCAAATATGTGGGCATGATCAGTCAAGTTAAAAATGTAATGGTTCACCGAAAATGAAGAATCTAAAATTATAGTAACTGCACTAAAGATTTCCATCTATAACAGAAGCATGACCTTGAGCAATTCATACTTTTTCAGTTGCCTCATCTGTAAAATAAAAGTTTTATATATTCTGTGATTTCCAAGATTAGTTCCAGCCTAAGCATTCCATGATTTTAAAAATTATAAGAGAGACAATAGTTTGCTGGTGATCCGTGGTCCACGGCAGTTAAGAATAAGCAGTTTTATTGTTGGAGCATTTTCTTATACATTACAAAATAAAACTTCACACAAAAATTTGACATCATAGAATATTCTTATTTCGGTATTCATCATTCTGAATCAAACATAGATCTGGTAATAATCAGCATAAAACCACTCATATGGGAACTTAAAGAGCCATCAAGACTTTAAATGCCTTACATACCTTGCCAGCTTAATTTGATCAGAGACTATAGAACTACATTTTTATTTAGAGGCAGGTATTAAGTCTGTCATTGACTTTCCCATATCCAGAGATAAAAATATGTTATTCCAAGAAACATCATCAAGTTATACCATATTTAAATGTATGATTTATGAAAAGAAACTTCTATTCAAGACTGTAACTGGTTAATTGATCAAGTGAAAAAGGACACATTATTCTTTATACTCCAACATATTTCTACCTTATTTCACTACTATGCAAATTTTTCATGTACATTTCTAAGACTGCCCAATTTAATATTCAAGAGAACATGATTATAAAGCAAATCTAATAAAGTTTATTTTAAAAACATATACCTATGTAACACAGCTTTCATGCAATAGAGTCTAGCTCAAAAAAATTCCATGCCCAAAATACTTCATCTCAAAGATAAATTTTATGGTTTGCTGGGCTTTAACAATTTTATCCCTGTTTGAAATAATTGTAGACAAAGCATCTAGTTAATTATATTTACTAAAGTTTATCATATTAGAAGACAATTGGTAAACCAGAGCATTTATTTCTGTAATCGTTACTATTAGGATAATTACATGGTCCTTGCTTCACATTCACTCTTCAGAAAGTAAATTATCAGCTTGAATCTTTGAGTTTACATTTTAGTTTCCTTCATTCATTTGACCAAAAAAAATCCCTCTGTTTACCCATTGAAATGTATGAATATAATTGATAAAACCATGCCACTGAATGCTATCTTTTATAATCAATGATCTATTGGTGAAAAAATAGTTTAAAGAAAGATGTAACATTAAGAATGATATCATAATTATTTTATGAATAAACTTTGATTATAGAAGACTATAGGTTATAATCTAAGAGTCTAATAACCACCATGTGACTTTCTTAGATATATTAGTAATAATTCCCTGCTGATTTTCTAATGTTACATATTTAGTATTATTAACTCTACTCCGTTTTATAGTAAGGATATACATTTTAACATGAACCAAAGATAATCAAGTGGGTGTACATATTTGGAAAAATTGATATATCATTTATATTTTGAATAAATGATTAAAATATCTGATTATGCCTCCTACATTCACAGAACAAAAATGCTGTAGCCTTCAGTTGAAAATTACCCTCACCATTGCACTTTCAAAAGTTTTCCTTCCCCTATGTCAGTATCATGTGCTTGCATACACTTACATTATGAAGCTTCAAATATTTATTTTATAAAAGTGAATAATTAAAATACCGTCTTCTTTTATCATTTCTAAATCAATTATATGAGAACAAAGTATATATGGTAGTACCTTTGGATACTGCTTGACAGGAATCAGTACTCTTTCTGAGAGCTTTATGTTTTTGTTGCTGATGACATCAAGATACTTCTTTTCTTCGTCTTCCTTTTTTCCATCAGAACCTTGAAACTTTTCAATTTCTGGAAGAAAATCACAAGAAGAAAACAAGTGAAATGAGGAACAATGTTATCATAAATATGCTGAAAAATGTTATCATAAATAATATTCATATTACTCCTCTTCTCAAATAAGATTTTGATGAATATTGATAAAAGGCCTGAAACAGCATCTCACCAACAGTTATGTGAATGCTGCTACTGTATGTAAGAGAACCTCTGTCAACTCAAACTAAAAAGCGATAATTGAAGATGTGACTGTGTCTTCTGTGAAAAAATTGATGAATTTAATTAATTTTTAATATCTTCAAACACAACAAAAAGGTAATATATGCCCTTTGACTATTTAAACTATTTTAGCAAACTTAATTTTTTCCAGGAGCAATAAATAGAACAAAATACATTTTAAGGATATATGCTTTATTTTTACTCAGAATTATTCCTAAGAAAATAAAAATAATTAAAATGGTAATTATTCAGTTAGCTAAAATAGGTAGTAAAGAGAAATTGCATGATATTTCACTAGGAATCATAGAAAAGTCATATAAATGATTAAATCTATAAATGCTAACATTCATATTCATCAATAAGACATTATATAGGTGTTTAAGAAAAATATTAGAATATTACCAAATTCGATATTTTGGAGCATACTTATCCACTCCTTCATTTTTGAATCAATTTATTCCATAAAAAATATTAAATCTCTACTAGGTACCAGAAATACAACAGAAAACAATAAAATGTCTCTGTTTTTATAGACTCTATATTCTAATGTGGAAAAGGAACAGTGAGAAAATGAATATATGGGCACACATACAGTTATGGCTGGGGGCAAATAATAAACACAATATGCTGTTAAGAATACAAAGGAGACTCAAGCAGTGGCTATTACTTCAGATTTGAAGGGTGATATTTGATCAAAGCCCTGAATGACAGAGAAGAATAAGCCATGAGAAGACTAAGAAGAGCTTAACAGTCTGATGAAAACCAAGCTTTGCTTGCTCTTGGAATAGAAGAAGCAAGAAAGCCTGTGTGGCTGAAGAATAGTGAATGTGGAAAAAAGGCTTGGTAAGTGATTATAGGACAGATCATGTAAGAACCTGTAGAATACATGATGTTTTCTGCTTTATATTGTGACTGCAATGGTAAGCCTCTGGATCACTTTGAAGAGTAAAGGAAGGCAGCCACATTGTATTTTTATTTTTAAAGATAACATAGTATGTAATATGCAAAATCAATCACAGCAGAAGGCAAGCAAAAAAGGAAACCAACTTACATTTGTCTAGTTGAGAAACGAGGCTGACAAAGTAGGAATGAGACGTTAAAAGACTGTGTAGTTACAACTACAGTCATCTCATGCAATGCACTATGTAAAATAAGTGTTTTGGAGAATTGTTAAAAATTCATTTTAAAAATTACCTTTATGTTTTTTATATAGTTATTATAATGATCATAACATAATCAGTAAATATTTCTTTTTGTTCTTTGCTCTTAGTCAATGTACTAAAATACTAACTAAGATAAGAATGTGACAGTGTTTTACTTTTGCTATGGATAGAACAAAACATTATACTTTTGTTATTTTGGAGTAGAGAAAAGGTGATGATAGTTATTAAGTATGAACATGTTTCATATAAATTTATTTATATTGCATTTTACAACAATTATCTTTTAAAGGTCTGACTATTTCCAAAGGTAAGGGGAATATATATTTTATCTAATAGTTTTGTTTTTTGTTATTCTATCTTTAACTAACATTTTTCCCCCAAATGTTTTCAAATGGCTTAAAGAAAAATTCCTAAAACATTTCAATTAGTAATCTTTTCGCATACTATTTATTTGGGCTGTGTGGAATTTAAAAGAATTATTTTGGAGTAATATTACATTACTTACCCAGGTAATACCTGAGTGAAATCTACACTGCATAATTTTTACGAAGTCATTTATAATCATCTTATCAGTTACACGGTACAATTTCCCTAAAGACAAGTATCTTGAACTAAACTGAATTGTTTGAAAATAAGTTATATGTCTATAATTTCTACTTAGTGTGATAACATCAGATTCCTATATTCTACATGGAAGTATTAACAAGCCACTTTAACTAACTGACTTGTTAAATTGAAAATCACTTTATTCCAACCTTTCCATCCCTTATATAATTAATACAACCACAATTATGATAATTGCAAAGAAAATCCATTCATCATGTCCTCTGATACTAAGAATAAACTTTTGATCACTGCCCTATGGGTGTATACACCTACATAATGTCATACTTTGTAGCTTGCTGAGGTAATCGTAATGTGGAACACAGTGAAGAAGCTGACTCAATTCCTGATCTATAATACATATGGCTTCTCCCTTGTTACTTTTTCATAAAAATAAATTGAATTTGTCTGAAATTATTTGTCAACCACAAAACTACTACCTTAGGCTTTTTTAGACATCTGCAATTTGATCAGGCCAGGATTAATTCTAATAACCTTTCCATCAAGAAATGGAGTTAAATGAAATATCATTTCCACTGCTATTTCTGTTCAATTCTACAATTTTCTTCTGAAGTTTTTTGGTATTATTTTGCCCTCCTAATACTTTCAGGGAGTTATCTTGTCTTCTTTGGCATATCTCCATGACTAATAGATCAATACTTGTATTTGTCAAATGCATAGTAACAAAATGGTATATGCCAAACTTGCCTGAGTTTAAAACCAAAGAAAGCTTCATCCATGTCTCTGCGAAGGACATGAACTTATCATTTTTTATGACTGCATAGTAAACCATCATCCTCAGCAAACTAACACAAGAACAGAAAACCAAACACTACATGTTCCAGAGATCCAGAACAATGTGGGGATGCCCCGTCTTACAACTTCTATTCAACGTACTACTGGAAGACCTAACCAGAGCAATTATGCAAGGGGAAAAATAGGCATCCAAATAAGGAAAGTAAAAATAAAGATATCTGTTTGCAGTTGACATGATCTGATATGTAGGAAACGCCTAAAGACTTCACGTAAAAACTATTAGAACTAATAAGTGAATTCAGGAAAGTTGCAAAATATAAAATCAACATCCAAAAATCAGTTCCATTTCTATATACTAGCAACAAACTATCCAAAAAAGAAATTAAGAAAGCAATCTTATTTAAAATAGCATCAGAAAGAATAAAACACTTGGGAGTAAACTTAGTTAAGCTGGTTAACGACTTGTACGCTGAAAACCAAAAGCATTGATGAAATAAATCAAAGGAGACAAAAATAAATGAAAAGACACTTTATGTTTATAGATTGGAAGAATTAATATTGTTAAAATGTCCATAATACCCCAATAACCTAAAGATTCAGTTCAATCTCTGTCAAAATCCCAATGACATTTTTTACAAAAATAGAAAAAATAATCCCCAAATTTATATAAAATGATAAAAGAACTTCAAATGGCCAAAGTAATTTTGAGAAAATACACAACTGGAGACATCACACTTCCCAATTTCAAAATATATTATAAAGTCATAGTAATCAAAACAGTATTATACTGGCATAAAAACAGAAATATAGACTAGTGGAACATAACATGGAGTCCAGACATGAATCTATACATGTATGTTCAATTGTTCTTTGACACAGGTGCCAAGAATGTACAAGGGAGAAAAAAAGTCTCTTCAATAAATAGTGTTGAGAAAACTGGATGTCCACATGCACAACAATAAAATTGGACTCTTCTCTTACACTGCACAAAAAAAAAAAAAATCAACTCAAAGTGAATTAAAGACTTAAACATAAGACCAGAAATTGTAAGAGTCCTGGAAGAAAAAGGGGTAAATGCTTCTTGACATTGGTGTGGGGAATAATTTCTTAGCTATGATCACAAAAGCATAAGCAACAAAAGCAAAAATAGACAAGTGGGATTATATCAAACAAACAGTTTCTACACAGCAAAAGAAACAGTCAACAAAATGAAAATGTGACTTACAGAATGGAATGAAATATTTGAAAACCATATATCTGATAATAGATCTGATATCCAAAATACATAAGGAACTCCTACAACTTAATAGCAAGAAACCAAATAATGAATTCAAAATTGGCAAAGAACCTGAATAGGCATTTCTCCAAAGATGATATGCAAATGGACAATGGCAATATGAAGAGATGCTGGACATCACTAATCGTCAGAGAAATGCAAATCAAAGCAACAATGAATTATTACTTCACACCTGTTAGGATGGCTATTATTGAAAAAAGAAAGTTGGCAAGGATGTGGATAAAAGGGAATCCTTGTACATTATTGATGAAAATGTAAACTGGTGAATCCACTAACTATGAAAAACAGTATAGAGATTCCTTAAAAAAAATTAACCTACCATATGACCTAGTTGTTATGGTCTGAAAGTTTGTGCCCCCACCAAATTCATATGTTCAAATCCTGACTCCAAGATGACAGTATTAAAAGGTTAGGCCTTTGGGAGGTGATTATTTCATGAGAATGGAACCCTCATGAATGAGATTCATGCTCTTAAAAAAGAGGCCTGAGGGAGAGCCCCCAACACAACTTCCACCATGGGAACACAGCTAGAAGGTAAGGAGACAGCTACATGGCAGCATCCACAAAACAGAAAGTGGGCCCCTACCCAGATACTGAATCTGCCAGCACCAAGATCTTGGACTTCCTAAACTTCAGAGCTATGATAAATAAATGAGTAAGTTAAGGGAGCTCATTCACCCCTTCAACAATGTGAAGACACAAGAAAAAAGCATCATCTATGAAGCAGGAAATAAGCCCCCACCAGAAACCAAACCTACTGGATCTTGGAATTTTCCAAGATTTTGAATTTTCTTGGATTTTCCAGCCTCTAGAATTGTGAGAAATAAATGTTTATTGTTTGTAAGGCACTCCATTTATGGTATTTTATTATAGCAGTCCTAACAGACTAAGAGACCATAAATTTATATATGAGGAATCTACAATAGTCAAACTCATAGAAGCAAGAAGTATGGTGATGACGGGGACTGAGAGAAGGAGGAAACAGGGAAGTGTTGGTTAAGAGATACAAAGTTTCAGCTGTAAACAATGAACAAGTCCTAGAGAACCACTGTACAACATAGTGCCTATAGTTAACATTACTGTATTGTTGGCTTAAAAATTTGCTAAGAGGGTAGATCTTGTATTAAGTGTTTTACCACAAAAATAAATAAATGTAGTGGGATGAAACTTTTTGAGGTGATAGATAATGACTATGGTATTGGTTGTTAATGGTTTCATAGGGGTATACTTCTCTCCAAATTCATCAAGCTGTATATATTACATATGTACAGCTTTTTGTATGTCAGCCATATCTCAATAAAGTGGATGAATTTTTTGAAGGTTTTGTTTTTTGTTATTTTGTTTTGTTTTACAATAAAGGATTATAGAAAATAGGAGATGCAATTGCGTGGACTGGCAAGTCATACTATATAATTCTTTTATATTAAGAATGTTTCTTCATTTTGCTGAAGCTCTTTCAAAAATATTTTTAATACCTCCCCTATATGTATAGTTTAGTATAGTCTATAATTTCAAAATTCAGTGTCAAGGTAAAGATTATTTAATACTCTTTCTGAAAATACGAGTAATATTTCAGTGAAAGGAGCTATTTGAATATGTGAATCTTTACCTTGTCAAGTTACTTTCTTAACCCATGTGATTTTTTTCCTGCAACAAAATTCATACTTCCTGAACTAGCTACACTAAATGTTTAACACTGGCTTCCCACACACTTCTAGTATTTATCGGACCTCAAAATAGAATTTGCTTAAGATTTTAGAACCCTTAATAGCTATAAAATTAACATATTAAGATTGTGTCTGTATTTTGATGCTTAACACAAGTTATTTTGTGGTGATTATATTTCTTTTTATGATTGGCACATTGTTGAGGCTCATATTTTTAAATATATATGACATAATTACACATGCACAAACGCAGAAATCACAATTATCTGCTTATATTTTAAGTTGGTTATTTAAGATGGATTTTAAAATTATATATTTTCCTCTAAAGTCAAAATTTATGTAAATTTAAATAAATGAAGTGTTTCCCAGTCATTTCAAACACAACATAGAGCTATATAGAACTAAATATTAAATAGTACTAAATATGTACATCAAGTACCAATTACATAGAACTATTTATGCCTAATTTCTTTATAGAGGGTGAATTACATGGTCTTCCAGATATTTATATTCCTAAAATTAAAAATAAAGAGAAGAGACAAATTTACAATATGTGCAAAAAGAAGTTTCTAGTTCTATGGAAATTTTCAGAATCCAGATACATTTAATTATCGAGAAGACTTCAAAAATAATCTTTTGACACTATATAAAAGAACATTTACATGCAAGATATAATTTTAGAATGTATTTAATGAAGAACATGGAATTCGTCTGTGAAGAAAATATTTTTTGTTAATGAAATGAAAATGACCTTGAAATATAACAATAGGGTAGAATGCCAGTATTCAATGTTTTTGAATTTTTGCTCATCTATGATCAAAATTCAATGAGAGGTTGTAAAACACCTAACTTTTCTTTACGAATATTTTTGGAAGGAACTTTAACTATTTTACAAATGATACTTAACTACCTGGTAATTAAAACTCATTATAAATGGAACACGGACAACTTATATTTAAATAATATCACCAAGTAAAGTTTATACCACTTTTTTCCACTCTGAAATTATGCTTTTTTAGTTTCCAAGTAAAAATGCATTTTGCTTTTTGTATTTGAATACAGAACCAAACTTTTAATAATTAGTGTTAATAGAATAGAATAATGCAACACAGAAGAATAATTTTCATCTTCCTTTTACAAATTTTCACATGAAAATTTAGAGATTATGTATACTATATTATAATAAGCTTCCATCACTTCGAAATCTAAGTCCAGAATAAAAGGGCAAATAGACTACAATTGTCATGAAATAAAAACCTAACATGAATCACAGAATACAAGGAAACGACTTTGCACAAATTTTACCTCTTTGATACTCACGAGAAAGATAGAAAATTTCAAATTTCAGTATCAAAAAATGGGTGAAGAAACATCAATGGAACTTTGCCACGAATATCTGCATTATAACCCTGTAGAGTCTGTAACAATTATCCCACTTTCCAAATAAAGAAACGGGAGTTCAAAGAGCATATATAATACATATTATAAATACATAAAAGAAAAGAGAGAAAAAGAATGTAAAAATTGAGGAGTCCTTAATGTAGCTTTACATTTAATAATGCAAACAAAAGGGATTAAACAGAAGCCAATCTTTGCTTTAAAATACCATTTAGAAATTTGTCTTCATATAAAACATTTTCCAGGGAGTGGGCAATTAAAGTTCATGTTTTGCCTTAACTACTTCTAGGAAGCTCAAGGCTAAGTCTGTCTTCAAATAGCTCTAACTTTCCTCAGATAAGGATTTCTTGCATAATTCTTTTTCTTTTCATCATATTTACAACTTTTTATTTGTTTTATTCTGCAGGAATACTTTATTTTTATCTTGTACTTGCTTTTATATAAGGTGCCTCAAATTCACCTCAGAAATAGGTATGTGATTAAATGCCACTTTAAAATTATTATGCTGCATTAATAATATTAATCCAACAGTCCACACTAATGCAAAATTTCTTTGAGCTCCCTTTGCGGTTTTTGGAGTTAAATCTGGGTGCTAAAATATCTTTGTCACCTGCTGGCTACATGATCTTAAGCAAGTTAGTTAGCCTCTGTTTACTTATCTTTTTAAAATAAAGTAAATCTTTCAAATGATGTTATTATAACGATTAGCATTTTGTGCATTGTTGTCTGGCAATAATTATTGCATTGTTTTGATATTATTACACCTCACATTTGTCTCCCTGTATTTTGTAACCTCTTAGCAGGAAGTTTATTTTACCCATCGTTATAGCCTCGGTTATTAGGCCAAAGCAGAATAGGAAATTATACCCTAAACCTGTGTTTTACATCATAGAAAAATAAAATGGGTAATTTCTCACAGAACAAACCTTAAATGATAACATGCTAACCTTAAATCTGAACTATGTTGCTAGCAAAACAGATGGTCCTAAGTCATGGATCTCCCAGGCTAAAGGTCAGCAGGTCATAGTTTAGTGAATACTGGTCTAATTCCACAACAATTTAAGGGATGGAAAGTTGTTCTTGAATATAGAATCATATTTTCCTTTTTATTGAAGGCATAAGAGACTGTCAGATCCATTAATGACAAATCAGTGCTAAATAATATTAAGTATCTTCACAAGTAATTATTTTTGATTATTGAAGTAGAAATAGAGACATTAACTGCTAGACAATTTAAATATGATCCAGGCATTTATTTTCAATGATAATTAATCATAAGATAGTTAACTGTTTTAATCACTACTCATTTATTTTAATGCCCTAAACCCACTAAAATTCTGAAACTATCTGATACTCCAATCCCCATTTCCTGTTTGCTTATCCAAATTATAACCACTTCAAGGCTTGGCTTACAGTTCCTCTCCCTCATGGAGTTGTACAGAGTAACTCAGAAATTTCACTCTTTATAAACTCCTACCACCTAATTCGTATGTTAAATATTCAGGTTGTACTATTTTGCGTATAAGATAAGACCACAACCTAACACAGTGGCCTTGAACAAGTCACTTAAGCTTTCTGGACTTCTATTGTTCCTCCCCACCCATTCACCCTAATGTGGGAATCAAATCTTATGAGGGGCATCCTAGTATATTCTTAAGAATGCAGGCTTCTGGATACAGTATTGTATCTGCCACTTGTTAACTGTGTGACACTTGCCAACAAGTGATGATGACAGTTATTGCTTTCTAAGCCTTTTCTATGTATTAGGCAATGATCAATTTCTGCACATATTCTAGTTCATTTACTTAGTTTACTTAAGTTTTCTGCATCACATTGCTTAGTTTAAAACGGGAATAATATCCTCCTAAAACGGCTGTAAGGATTAAGTGAGTCAAATTTTCAAAAGTACGTAGAATAGCATTTGGTACACAATAAGAGCATAACGAATACTAGCTATTATCATTTTATTTACTTGCATTTGGGGGCTGGACATGAGACTTCACTGAAGTTTTGTATCATTAAAACCAAACATCGTGACAGTCAATGTCATGTATTTCACAAGCTTACATCTTGTCTTTAAGTAGATTGTTAATTATTGATGGTATACCCATGACTTACATTTGAATGTGTCCTTTATCAGACTAATATCATTATATAAATGCTAGGAATATCATACATATTCATTTAAATATGAAATAGGACAAAATGAAGGAGAAAATGCAGCTATGGTGATGATAAGAATAGGGTGTGGTATAAATTTGCTGAAACTATCATCAAAAAAATGTTGGAATCTTTTGGATAGTATTGTCATCTAACATTAAGCAGTGGTACCTCACAAAAGGCAAGAGTTAAAGATTTATTTATTTTTAACTGTGTTGAGACTCAGACACAAATTCTTAAATTTTAATGTTAAGAACTTTAATGGGTTTCTTAAAAGAATAAAACATTTTATTGATACTCATTCCATATATATCTACATGTAGTCGTCCCATTTCGGTCCCTTTCTTTGAATGTATTCAGTGTTTTGAATTAGTTCTTGCTAAGTTAAATACACATAGATTTCAACACAACAAAAAAAAATTCAGGACACATATTTCTCCTTGCTGAGCAACCATAATCATATTACATAAGAAAAGTAGCAGATCTTACATTGATATTCCACTTTGTGTGTCAGAGTTCCACAGTCCATCATGCTGGCAAAGACAACATCAAGTTTCCTTAAACTTGCACCTGGTGCAAAGAATTGCTCAAGTGATTTGTATGCATTATATCATTCCATCTTCATATTAACTCACGACGATATAAACAAATATTACCTACATTATACAAAAGGAAAACCTGAATATTAATTTTTCCAATTGTACAGCAAGGAAAGTAAGAGATTTGAATAATAAAGCCCAGGTTCTGAACCATTATATCAATCATTCATATTCTTACTCATGCACTCTTTCATTTAATAATTATTTATTGAAGGCCTACTATTGTCCCAGGCACCATCCCAGAAACTGAACACTGTGGTGAAGCAAAATCTGTGCCTTCTTCAATCTTACAGTCTAGGGAGGTAGAAAGTAAATGAATAGGTAAATTATAATGTAATTCAGAAAGATATTTTTTAAAAGTTTTACTAATGTAAGTTTATATACAAAATATTGAACATATTTTTATTATTATATTTTGATGACTTTTAACATATGCATACAGCCATGACTCCATCACTGCAATTAGTATACTAAATATATTCATCATTTCCAAAAATTTCCCTGTGTTCTTTTGTGTGTGTGCTATGGTTTGGTTTAATTTTTTTGCGGGGGAGGGGACGTTGTTTGCTCTTTGTGTTAAGAATACTCAAGGTGAAATCTATCCTCTTAACTTATTTTAAAGTACACAATGCTGTATTGTTAATTGTAAGTACTATGTTGCACAGCAGTATATTTGTCCATTTGCATTGCTATAAAAGAATACCTGAGGCTGGGTAATTTATAAAGAAAAGAGGTTTACTTGGCTCATGATTGTCAGCAGTAGGAACATGGTGCCAGCATCTGCTTGGCTTTTGGTGAGACCCAGAAAGCTTTTGGTCATGGCGAAAAGGAAGGGGAGCCAGCATGTCACACGGTGAGACAAGGAGCAAGAGAGAGAGGAGGAGGGACCAGGCTGCTTTAAACAACCAGCTCTCAGGTGAACTACCAGAGCAAGAGCTCACTCATTACCATGGGGAAAGCACCAATCCATTCATGAGGGATCTGCCCTCATGACCCAAACACCTCCCACTAGCCTCCACCTTCAACACTGGGGATTCTATTTCATCATGAGATTTGGAGAGGACAAATATTCAAACCATATCAAGCAGGTCTCTAGAACTTATCATCTTGTATAATAAATATTATATCCATTGAGCAACAATTCCTACTTCTCCCTTGCTCCAGCCCCTGGTAATCACAATTCTATTCTTTGCTTCCATGCATTTGACTATTTTAGATATCAGATGTAAGTGGAATCATGTAGCGATTGTCCTTCTGTGACACGTAGCATAATGTCCTCCAGGTCCATCCATGTTGTCACAAATGGAAATAAATGTTGTGAAAAATGTAAAAGAGGGTAATGGCATATAAAATGGTGAGAAGTGAGTGATGTTTAGATAAGCGTGATTAAAAATGGCCTCTGAGAAAGTCATCCTTGATCAGAGACATTAATTAAGTATGGGAAATAAATGCATGAAGATCTGGGGTAGAGTTTTCAAGGAAAATGAAACAACGTGCAAGACATCTCAGGCTGGAAAGAATTTGGCACATTTAAGAAATTGCTAGAAGGGTGATGTGTTTAGTGTGGCATGAATGTGGGAGAAAGGGACAGAAAGTCTACCACTTCTGAAAATAGGTCATTAGAAACACTGTGGTTCCCTTTTCACTCTTTCTCTTAGAAAACGTGTCAGTAGGCTGGGTGCGGTGGCTCACGCCTGTAATCCTAGCACTTTGAGAGGCAGAGGCAGGTGGATCACTTGAGGTCAGGAGTTCAAAACCTGCCTGACCAACATGGTGAAACCCCATCTCTACTAAAAATTCAAAAGATTAGCCACGTGTGGTGGCATGTGCCTGTAATCCCATCTACTCAAAGGGCTGAGGCAGGAGAATTGCTTGAACACGGGAGGTGGAGGTTGCCGTGAGCCAAGATTGTGCCACTGACCCCTCCAGCCTGAGCGACAGAGCAAGAGTCTGTCTCCAAGAAACAAAAAACAAAAAAAAAAGAAGAAGAAAGAAAAAGAACATGCGTCAGAGGGAAGTCAGGTACCATGTCCTGAGAACATTCAATCAGCCCTATGTAGAGGTCCATGTTGTGAGGAACTGAAGCCTTTTGCTAACAGCAGTGTGAGAGAGCCACCTTAGAAATAAGTCCTCTCTCAACAGTAAGGCTTTCAAATGACCACCACTTCTTTTTTTTAAATTTTTTATTTTATTTTATTATTATTATACTTTCACTTCTTAAGAGACTCTGGGCCAGAACTGTGCATCCAGGCTTTTCCAAAATTCCTTAACTATGGAAACAGCCAGATAGTAAGTGTTTGCCATTTTAAGCGCTTAGGTTTTGAGGTAATTTATTATGCAACAATAAGTAACATCATGAGACAGAACTTTTATTTTCTTCTAAGTGCAATGCTAAAATTTTGAAGAATTTTAGCACAGTTTTAATCTGATTTGAGCAGAGGCAGGAAGATCAGTTGTGAGGCAGTTGCACTAGACCAGGTGAGATATGATGAAGGATAAAGTGTTAGAGGTAAAGGTCTACAAATTGGTTGGATTATTTGGAAGGTAGAGGTTTGCTGTAGATAGAATGGAAGTCTAAGAAAAAGGGGAGAAATCAACAGTGACTCTCAGGTTTTTGGCTTGAGTAAGTAGGTGAGGAGTAGCAACATTTACAGATATAAAAATGACTGGCAGAAGAACAGGCTTGGCTGGGAAAAATGTAAGTTGTACTTTGGCTACACTTAGGTGAGACCTAATAAGAGATGTAGAATCAGGAGTTGGATGAGGAATTCTGGAGCCTAAGGAAAAGGTTGGGGGTTGACATGTAAATGTTTGTGTCATTAGCATATGATTGATGCTCGAATTTATAGGAGTGGGAGAGAGGAAGGAAGATCGCCAAGGACTGAGCCCAGTGATACTCTAATATGCAAAGTTCAGGAAGAGAATGAGAATCCAGCAAATGAAGTAAGAAGGGGCAATGAATGCAAGAGGAAGAAAATCAGGAAAATGTAGATCACAAGATTCAAGTGCAGAAAGTATCTTAAGAAAAAGAAAGAAATCAACTGACTCATCCTACTGAGAAGTATAGTTAAATGGAAGCTGAGTTTTGACTACTGGCATTGGCAAGGTGAAAGATGCTGCGTATCTTTATAAGAACAATTTTAGACACTCTTTAGAGTGGATTTATGAGAGAACAGGTGAAGAGGATGTGGCCACAGTATGAAGCTTCCTCCTACACCTCAGTAGGGTTACCCTGGTTCATTGCCTTCCTGAACCTTTTTCTAAATTCTTGAGACCATCAGTACTGCAGTTCCTTCAACCAAATAACATTTTCCCCTTTCCTTTTATATTTGGAACAAAATCCTTTTGTTGAGGTCGTCTGCGCTAAGGACACTTCCAGTTGATTTCACCCATTGCGATAATACACATCTACCATCTTTCATCTTTTTAGACACCAAGCCCAAACTACCTTCCTGGGTTTCATACTTTTTTCAATATTTTACTCTATATTTACATTCTAAAATTTTTAATACAAATAAAACTCAGCGCATCTCAAACTGTACTTTAAAACCTATTAGCTCTAAAACCTATTCTTTCACTATCTTCTCTTTTACCACAATCTTCCTAAGTCACCCAAGAACAACAAAACCAGAAATCTCAGCCATGTGAGCAAGAGTTACTCCCTGGTACTCCCCACTCTATATGCAGTAGTCAAGGAATCCTGTTGATTCCATCTCTGGAGCTTCTCTCATATGGAGCTTCTCCACTCAGATACTCTCTCACTGCCTCAATTCACTTTCCCATCATTCTCACCTGAATAGGCAGGACCCCTTCAACCAGTTTCCCTGAAAATCCATATAAAACTTGTCTTCCACATCCAAGCTGTCTTTCTAAAACACAGATCTGAGCATTCCACTTTTCTCTCTTCTGTTGGAGTATGGTATCTGAACTGTGTTTATTCCCTGGCTGTACTAAGCATTCAAATCTTTGTTGAATGAATGAGTGTCACTACCCTGACATGTACCTGCTTCTCACTGTTGAAGGTTAAATTCTAATTTTTATCTGGTCACTAAAAATTGATCAACCGTTCTAGTCTTATTGCTCACCACTTTCTAGTCTTCTTTCTTGCCATCCTGAAACAGGCACGTTGTAGTCTATCCTCATACATACTCTGAGCAAACGATACTCTCAAAGTCCTTAGGCTTTTGCTGATGATCTTCCCTCCTTCCTCTGACCAGTGGAGAATTACTCCATCTTTAAGGCAGGCCCAGTTTTAATACTCATTTTGCATGACTGCCCCATCCCAGGTCTCCCTTAGCACTTTGTACTCTAAATGCAACACTTTTGTCACTTTTTAATGTGCTATTTGCAAGTGTTTTCCTCATTAGACTATGACTTCCTTGAAGCCAAGGACCATATCACATTTATTATTTTTCACTCCCAGCACTCATTACAATAGATAACTTAGAATTTAAACTCAGTCAGGCCCACCCATCAGCCTGTCCCTCTGAATAAATCTTTCTAGAAGAATATCACTTGGTTTTTAATGTGAAAATTTCATAAAACATACACGGCTCTCAACACAATGATTTTTACACTGCTGTTTACACCAGAAAACTTACATTTATTTCCACAAAACATGGTACTAAACTTTAAAATTCATATTTATTTCCACAAAATGCAATACATTTTTAAAATCTGGATTTTTTAAATATCATGTACGCATCTTGGAAACCACAACAAAAGAGTGACATCTAAGAGGTGACACAAATTTAAAAAAACTTTTTTTAACAACCTTATTGATCAGTGATTAGAAAGTGATATTTTATGCATTTTAAAACCTAGCATAATCTCTTGTTACTTATATGTTAATGGTTAAGTATAATTTGGGTTATATTGTAGAAAGCTGTCTGAAAGTTTTGGATTGACATGCAATGCATTATAACTTTTTCATGTAAAATATTAGAAAATAAGCTCTCAGAGAGCTTATTTTATTCAATATATCTGATCAATCAGTAGATCTGATATTGATATAAAAAAGCAATAAATCTGATTTTTTAAATGAATTATTAATTGGGAACAACCTGTACTCATTACTAAGTTATTTCTGATTTTCTCACATTCAAATTCAATTGCATTTATTTCCAGAACATGAGTAGAACATATGTCCTATGTGTGTGTAAAAAAATAAGAGGCTTTACTGTTGCCAAAGATATCTTGAAATTTACTATCTTAATGAAAAGAAAACAACACATTTAAAATCAGCAACTCAAGTTGCATTGGTTTGGTTCAAATGAAAAGACTTTTTTCCTGATCCTACTTCTACTGTGATGATTATATAAAATGGCATTCACCATTTAGACTCAATTTACAGAAATGCTACAAGCAGATGTGCTTGAATTTGTATTAATTTATTTTCAAGATGTTCAGAAATCTAATTACATTAGGCATTCCTTGTGTTTAAAACTCAATTTTCCTGAATATATAGAGGTGGGCCATTATTCATTAGAGTTAAAAATTCCAACTCTGTCAATAGCACTAGGTATTTAAATATAACTGAATGTGACCTGCTTCACATACATCTTGCCCCAGGGCACAGTTTCTTCATCAAATAATTTCATTCACTCAGCACATGTTATAGAGAGCATCTTACTGTGTATAAATTATTGGGAAGTAGAAGGTGATGCAACACTGGTTTAAACTGCTGGTTATCCAGTGACCATTCATTGCAAGTGTCACAATGAAACAGTCATTACGCTTGTTGCTCATACTACTCCTAATTTCTTACCTGTACATTTCAAGAAGCCAAACTTACATAATGCAAATTGAGAAGTTTATTAAATACATTTCTAGTATTTACGAATGGCTTAAATATAAATTGGAAGGCCATCTCCCTTAGCATCAATATTTTGGCTGAATATAATAAATACTAATACTATCACAATTGAAGAAATCAAGAGATTCCCTTAAAATATATTTAAAACGAATATATATGTATATAGGTATGTGTATATCTCTATATGTATAGATATACACAGTATACACATTTATATTTATATATGTTTTCCAGGGATAAACACTTCACCAAAGATTGTTCCTCTGTTAAATTTAAGGTGTACCTGAAATCTTATATGGTCCCTTTGTTTTAGGTATATAGGCCACCATTTTGTAAACTGATTCTGTGCTTGGAGACAGTAAATGTAGGATAAAACAGCCACAATTTTTGAAGTCAGACTAATCAAATATGTGTTCTAATTTTTATGGGCCTCAGAAATGTAAATAGATCTCATATAAAACGATGAAACCACTTCCTAACTTGTTGGGTGGTTTTTGAAAATTAAGCCTAATATATGTAATTTAAGGGCTTGATATTTGTGGTGATTTTTAATCTCTAGGAAAAGATTATACATCCTTTCCCTTTAAACATGTCCCCTTCACCCAACTCTAAAGGAGAAAGCTCCTCTAATGCATTATCTTGGGTAGATTCCTGCAGGTGGACATTTTGAAAAACTGCTAAAATGTTTTCCAAAGTTACTGTACCATTTTACAATCACATCAGCAATGTATGAGGATTCCAGGATCTCTGCATCTTCACTGACACTTGCTATTGTCTGTCTTTATTTTAGCCATCCTAGCATGTATGCAATGTTATTTCATTGAGGATTTGATTTGCATTTCTTTAATAACCAATGAAGTTGAGCACATATTAACATTATCATTGTAAATTTGCTACCTTCTATAAATAAATGTCTACTCAAGTCAGCTGTCAATTTTTAACTGAATTATTTGTCATTTTATTACTGAGTCATAAAAGTTCTTTACATTCTTGGATAAGAGCCCCTTATCAGAAAAATAATTTGCAAATATTTGTTCCTATTCTGCATGTTTTCTTTTCACTTCCTTGATATCATTTGCACCCACAAAAGTTGTAATTTTGATGTAGTTCAATTTATTAAGTTTTTTTCTTTGCCATTTAACTTTCGTGTCATATCTAAGAAACCACTGCCTAACCCATAGTGGCAAACATACTTCTATGTTTTTTTCCAGGAGTTTTATAACTTCAGCTCTTACATTTATTTCTTTTATCCATATTGAGCTAAATTTTTATAAACAGGATAAGAGTCCAACTTCATTTTTTTTGCATTTGGATAAACAGCTGTCCTACCACCACTTGTTGAAATGACTATTTTTTTCCACATTGAATGCTCTTGAAACCCTTGTAAAAAAAACCAATTAACCATGAATGTGTGAGGGTCTATTTCTGGACTTTCTAAGCAATTATATTGATCTACATGTCTGTCCTTATGTCCACACTACACTTTCTTTTCTTTTCTTTTCTTCCTTTTTTTTTTTTTTTTTTTTTTTTTTTTTTTTTTTTTTGAGATGGAGTCTCTCTCTGTTGCCCAGGCTGGAGTAGACAGGCACAATCTCAGCTCACTGCAACCTCCGCCTCCCATTTCAAGGGATCCTCCTGCCTCAGGCTCCCAAGAAACTGGGATTAAAGTTGCGCCCGCCACCACACCACACCCAGCTAACTTTTGTATTTTTAGTAGAGACAGGGTTTCACCATGTTGCCCAGGATGCTCTCAAACTCCTGATCTCAAGTGATTCACTCATGGTGGTCTCCCAAAGTGTTGGAATTACAGGTGTGAGTCACTGCACCCGGCCTACAATTTCTTTATTATTGTATTTTTGTAGTAAATTTTTAAATTTACTACACAAAGTATGAGTACTCAAAATATGTTCATCCTTTTCACAATCGTTTTTGTGATTTTAGGTCCCTTGGATTTCCATATGAATTTTTAGATTATTTTGTCAGTTATATAAGAAACTACCTGAAATGTTGATAGGGATTTCACTGAATCTGTAGATCAGTAAGGGATATTATCATCTTAACAATATTTAGTCTTTCAAATGATGAACATGGGATACATTTACATTTAATTAGGCCTCCATTAATGTCTTTCAACAAAGTTTTATAATTTTCAGCATACAAGCCATGCCCTTATTTGTTAAATTCATTTCTAAGTATTTTCTCCTTTGATGCTATTGTAAATGGAATTTTAAAAATTCATTTTCAAACCCTTTTGTTGATGTATAGAAAAACAATTTATTTTTGTATGCGTTTGCATCCTGCAACCTTGCTAAACTCACTTATTAGTTCTAATATTTTTGTGTGAGCACCAAAGGATTTTCTACATCAATTATATTTTGATATTTATATCCTCTTAGCATTCTATATTCCTTGTTTCCCACAACATATTTTTGAAAGAAGTGTCATTTCATTTTTCTTCCATATCAGCAAAAATTTTTAATAAAATAAACTTAAGGAAGAAGCAATGGCTGAATGAGAAATTTCTTAGTCAACAAACAAAAGTTCTCCCTTAGAGAAATAAACACATTTGTTATAAAGCATGGCTCACTATTTTTTTATTCTAGTAAAATTAAAATTAATACTGTGAAATAATGGCAGCACTCAGAGACTCTTTTCTGAGCTAAGGAATGAATAAAAATCCCTTGGCCATTGGGTACTTGATAAATCTTCAGTGAATGAATGTAAAAGTGAATGACATATATAAAAATACACAAAGTGTGCATAGTCCAGCTAAAAAAAGTCAGTGAATTCTCATCCCCAAATAAAGGTGTCAGTGTGGAAAAACAGCCTGCCACTAATTTTTGGCTTAGGCTGGCCAGTGAGAACACTGAGCCCTGTTTCACATGAATAAATGAAGAAAAAAAGAACAGAACTAAACATTAGAAATAATGTTTTAAAATGTAAATTAATTAAACAATTAGAAACATTGCTTTTAATGTTGTTGAGCTGCCTGTTTCTAAAAATATTAAAACAGAAACAGAATAAGCATCTGTTATGGATTCTAGAAAGTGATTTCCCATTCTGGGTGAGTGAGTGGAGCCAATGACCTCAAGGTTTCCTTTAGGATCAATAACTTATAAAAAGAGTCAAATTTTCTAACAAATAGTTAATACTGATTTTAGAAAACAGAATTTGAAATCCCTGTATAGACTAACTTCTAACATTTGTAGAGCCTAGGGTAGTGGTGCAAATGGAATCTCCTATAGAATAAGTTGAAATATTTGGAGTTATAAGCCAAGTTAACAAACTGTCAAATAAAATAAATTCTATACTTCTACTATGACAAATAGACCTTCTTATTCATATTGACTTTACATTCATTACTTCCCAATAAGTATACTTCCAATTAGGCAAAGAGCCTTATAGAATTTAGATTTCTAGAACTCCACCTGTGCCAGAACAGATAGGTATGGGAAGACCTAGACTCATTCTCAGTTCTGTACAGTACTACAAAAGGTTATGCTCACATTTGTGTGGGCATCCATTCCCAAACCACCAAGCTCCCTGTACAGACTCATGTCTTGGGATTCTTTAGGTCTGAGGTATGTACATCTGTGGTATGGTCTATCCTTGGGAAGATGGAACACTCAACCCACATTGCCAGTTTCAGTCACACATCCCCTGCATATATCCACTTCTTGGAAACTCTTCAGACTTAGATGTTCATTCACTAGCAATGAGGTCTGCTCACAGGTAGATGAGCTTGAGGGACAAACTTAAATAGGCCCTGGAGGTGGTTTGGGGGCCAAACAGGCAAGGACTTGGGGGATTTCAGGTGCTCAGAATATGTACTAGAGAATGACGAGGGGGATGCTGGCTCGACATGCTCACACCTGGGCCCTATGAAACTCCTTGCCTTATGGTGTGTGTACAGCCAGAAGAGAACCATAGGAAGCGCCCATAAAGCATAGATGTCTTCTCTAGCCCAGGTCTAATAGGTCCAGTACTATGTCGTTCATTCTATAGTCTACTTTGCCCTCTAGCACTGCAGTATAAAAATCACAGTGTAGTATAAAAATGAGTATATCATGCAGTATAAAAATCACACTGACAAAAGAAGTTTCACAGTAAGTAGAGCAACAATTTAATCTTTAAATCTTCTGGAAAAATTTCAGAACAAGGATGTAGAATATGAAGACTTCCCTTCAAAAATGGGTATTAAATTATAGTAAATGAATTTGTCATATATAGTAAATTTAACAGTCTTATGTAGTCCCTAAAATTCCATCACAAGCTGATGCAAATGGGATAAAGATAGGTACTGTGATATCAAGTTAAAACTTGCAAACCCAATTTTGAACACAGATCAAACAATATTTGTGAAAACCTGTATTGTACTGAGGGAAACCTATGGTTACAATCAAATCAGCATGAATTTTAACTGGTATTATATACAATACATCACCAATCATCTACAGAAACTGTTCTTTAAGATTACTCTAAGAACACTGCTTCTATGGATAATGGGTCTTGAAGGAGTTTACCGTTCTTATAAGACATGCTATTTGCCAATTCAAGTATTTATCACACTCAGCATTAAAAATGAGCTTTCCTGAACCCAGTTTTTCAGACTAATAAACATGAAATCCCTCTAGTGTGTCTAGTGGAGACAAAGTCCACTAACTTATAAATATACACACCACTGTCAACATTAGACAGATCAACCAGACAGAAAGTTAACAAGGATATCCAGGAACTGAACTCAGCTCTGCACCAAGCAGACCTAATAGACATCTACAGAACTCTCTACCCCAAATCAACAGAATATACATTCTTTTCAGCACCACACCACACCTATTCCAAAATTGACCACATAGTTGGAAGTAAAGCACTCCTCAGCAAACGTAAAAGAACAGAAATTATAACAAACTGTCTCTCAGACCACAGTGCAATCAAACTACAACTCAGCATTAAGAAACTCACTCCAAACCACTCAATTACATGGAAATTGAACAACCTGCTCCTGAATGACTACTGGGTAAAAAACGAAATAAAGGCAGAAATAAAGACGTTCTTTGAAACCAATGAGAACAAAGACACAACATATCAGAATCTCGGGGACACATTTAAAGCAGTGTGCAGAGGGAAATTTACAGCACTAAATGCCCACAAGAGAAAGCAGGAAAGATCTAAAATTGACACCCTAACATCACAATTAAAAGAACTAGAGAAGCAAGAGCAAACACATTCAAAAGCCAGCCGAAGGCAATAAATAACTAAGATCAGAGCAGAACTGAAGGAAATAGAGACACAAAAACCCTTCCAAAAATCAATGAATCCAAGAGTGGTTTTTTGAAACGATCAACAAAATTGATAGACCGCTAGCAAGACTAATAAAGAAGAAAAGAGAGAAGAATCAAATAGACACAATAAAAAATGATAAAGAGGATATCACCACCGATGCCACAGAAATGCAAACTACCATCAGAGAATACTATAAACACCTCTACGCAAATAAACTAGAAAATCTAGAAGAAATGGATAAATTCCTCGACACATACACCCTCCCAAGACTAAACCAGGAAGAAGTTGAATCTCTTGAATAGACCAATAAAGGCTCTGAAATTGAGGCAATAATTAATACCTTACCAACCAAAAAAAGTCCAGGACCAGATGGATTCACAGCCGAATTTTACCAGAGGTACAAGGAGGAGCTGGTAGCATTCCTTCTGAAACTATTCAAATCAACAGAAAAAGAGGGAATCCTCCCTAACTCATTTTATGAGGCCAGCAACATCCTGATACCAAAGCCTGGCAGAGACACAACAGAAAAAAGAGAATTTTAGACCAATATCCCTGATGAACATTGATGCAAAAATCCTCAATAAAATACTGGCAAACCGAATCCAGCAGCACATCAAAAAGCTTATCCACCATGATCAAGTGGGCTTCATCCCTGGGAAGCGAGGCTGGTTCAACACTCACAAATCAATAAAAGTAATCCAGCATATAAACAGAACCAAAGACAAAAACCACATGATTATCTCAATAGATGCAGAAAAGGCGTTAGACAAAATTCAACAGCCCTTCATGCTAAAAACTCTCAATAACTTAGGTATTAATGGGACGTATTTCAAAATAATAACAGCTGTCTATGACAGACCCACAATCAGTATCATATTGGATGGGCAAAAACTGGAAGCATTCCCTTTGAAAACTGGCACAAGACATGGAGGCCCTCTCTCACCACTCCTATTCAACATAGTGTTGGAAGTTCTGGCCAGGGCAATCAGGCAGGAGAAGGAAATAAAGGTCATTCAATTAGGAAAAAAGGAAGTCAAATTGTCCCTGTTTGCAGATGACATGATTGTATATCTAGAAAACCCCCTTGTCTCAGCCCAAAATCTCCTTAAGCTGATAGGCAACATCAGCAAAGTCTCAGGATACAAAATCAATGTGCAAAAATCACAAGCGTTCTTATACATCAATAACAGACAGAGAGCCAAATTATGAGTGAACTCCCATTCACAATTACTTCAAAGAGAATAAAATACCTAGGAATCCAACTTACAAGGGATGTGAAAGACCTCTTCAAGGAGAACTACAAACCACTGCTCAATGAAATAAAAGAGGATATAAACAAATGGAAGAAAATTCCATGCTCATGGGTAGGAAGACTCAATATCGTGAAAACGGCCATACTGCCCAAGGTAATTTAGAGATTCAATGCCATCCCCATCAAGCTACCAATGACTTTCTTCACAGAATTCGAAAAAACTACTTTAAAGTTCACATGGAACCAAAAAAGAGCCCGCATTGCCAAGTCAATCCTAAGCCAAAAGAAGAAAGATGGAGGCATCACGCTACCTGACTTCAAACTATACTACAAGGCTACAGCAACCAAAACAGCATGGTACTGGTACTAAAAAAGAGATATAGATCAATGGAACAGAACAGAGCCCTCAGAAATAATGCCACATATCTACAACTATCTGATCTTTGACAAGCCTGACAAAAACAAGAAATGGAGAAAGGATTCCCTATTTAATAAATGGTGCTGGGAAAACTGGCTAGCCATATGTAGAAAGCTGAAACTGGATCCCTTCCTTACACCTTATACAAAAATTAATTCAAGATGGATTAAAGACTTACATGTTAGACCTAAAACCATAAAAACCCTAGAAGCAAACCTAGGCAATACCACTCAGGACATAGGCATGGGCAAGGACTTCATGTCTAAAATATCAAAAGCAATGGCAACAGAAGCCAAAATTGACAAATGGGATCTAATTAAACTAAAGAGCTTCTGCACAGCAAAAGAAACTACCATCAGAGTGAACAGGCAACTGACAGAATGGGAGAAAATTTCTGCAATCTACTCATCTGACAAAGGGCTAATATCCAGAATCTACAATGAACTCAAACAAATTTACAAGAAAAAAACAAACAACCCCATCAACAAGTGGGTGAAGGATATGAACAGACACTTCTCAAAGGAAGACATTTATGCAGCCAAAAGACACATGAAAAATGCTTATCATCACCGGCCATCAGAGAAATGCACATCAAAACCACAATGAGATACCATCTCACACCAGTTAGAATGGCGATCATTAAAAAGTCAGGAAACAATAGGTGCTGGAGAGGATGTGGAGAAATGGGAACATTTTTACACTGTTGGTGGGACCATAAACTAGTTCAACCATTGTGGAAGTCAGTGTGGTGATTCTTCAGGGATCTAGAACTAGAAATACCATTTGACGCAGCCATCCCATTACTGGGTATATACCCAAAGGATTATAAATCATGCTGCTATAAGGACACATGCACATGTATGTTTATTGTGGCACTACTCACAATAGCAAAGACTTGGAACCAACCCAAATGTCCAACAATGATAGACTGGATTAAGAAAATGTGGCACATATACACCATGGAATACTATGCAGCCATAAAAAATGATGAGTTCATGTTCTTTGTAGGGGCATGGATGAAGCTGGAAACCATCATTCTCAGCAAACTATCGCAAGGACAAAAAACCAAACACCGCGTGTTCTCACTCATAGGTGGGACTTGAACAATGAGAACACATGGACACAGGAAGGGGAGCATCACACACTGGGGCCTGTTTGGGGTGAGGGGAGCAGGGAGAGATAGCATTAGGAGATATACCTAATATTAAATGGTGAGTTAATGGGTGCAGCACACCAACATGGTACATGTATACATATATAACAAACCTGCATGTTGTGCACATGTACCCTAAAACTTCAAGTATTATTAAAAAAAATTTTAGAGTAGGGACAAGAATTCTAATGCTGATATAAACAGAAGAAAGAAAGCTTATACTAAAATAGAACAGAAAAGGTATAGTTAGAATGTAATAGATGTGGCAGACATTTGAAAGGCATTTTGAAAGTTGTAAGAAGGGGCTGTGAATCATTTAACATGCTTAGAATATTAGTGTGTAGTTTTTATTAAAATATCCAAAGTATTTTATGACTGTGCATAAATGAAATTTACCTAGCATATAAATAGGAGACAATGAGGTACACATAGAAAATACACGCTTCTAACAAATTTCACAAATGAAATCTACCAAGTATATTAACAATAGAAGACAGTGAGCTACAGGTAGAAAAATACATGCTTCTTACAAAACTAATTTGCAAATTCAAAGTTTCACTTTCGCTTTGGAAAAAAATTGGTTAGAAGAATAAAATAATTTGTTCCATGACTTTAAAAGACCATAAACTATTATATAGTCATTTGTGCCTAATACCTTAAGCTAGTGGGGCAAATAAGTCATTTTTATTAAAAATAGATAATATTCATTTTTATTTAAAATAGATCATCATCAATAGACTATTGACATGACAATAGACATGTCAATGTTTACACAATTCAAAGTTACGCACGTTCGTAAGATTAAAGACATAAATATTTAGAGCATATGAAATATATCTCCTGGATTTCAGAAATATTTATTCTTATGGATATGTAAAAATTATCTATAAATAACCTTTAGGGTTGAAAACTCTAAGTAATTACTTAAATGAAGAAACAATAAATATTCATTTTTTAAAAAGTAGTTTTCAAGCATATAATACGTGAAAATAATCTTACAGAGAAATTGTAATTGGGTATAGGACTTGTATTTATTCTGACTATGCACTTCAAACAAGTATACAAATTCTATTTTAATTGAAAATAGCAGTTTAAAACACGTTATACCATTCTCAAATATGTGTAATCAGTAAATAAGAATTTTGAAATGAATTCTTTAGAGACTGTGTTCTTAGAGACTCCCACACCAACTGTGACTAATATTTGACCTTCCAATCCAACTCATCATCTGTTGGTAACCTAAAAACATAGAAACTGTGTAACATCCTTAATCTCAAAAGTTTTTATCTTTATATATCTAAGACATTGCTCAATTTTCCCAGTTTCCTTTTAAAATATTTTCAGTATACTCACACAATACATCATATGCAATCATAAGACAAAAGTATTATGCTGTATAATACAGAAAGAGAAAAACAGAGAGAGAGATTTTTTTTTTCTCCCTACTGACTAGCTGACTGGGACACATCAGTGAATAAAATAGAACAAAGTCTCTAGCCTTGGGTAGTCTACTGTTATGTGGTATTCATCCTAGACCCAAGATATGTTATGGAAAAGGAAAACCAAAGTAGTTCCTTATGGTCTGCTTGGTAAGACAAATATAAATCTATTAATACATAACTCAATACAAAGTCATGATCATGGTAAGTGCCACTAAAGAAAAGTACATGGTTCTGTGAGAGTTTACAGTGAATGGGTTCAGTCTATGATTTCAAAGGAGGCAATCTCAAGCAAGGGATCCCTGTTCTGAGAAATGAGGGATGAGACAACTGTGTGAAAAGGGTATGAAAATTTATTCCAGGAAGTAAAAACAGCATGTGTGATCAGCTTATGGCAGAAAAGGTCATAGCAACTATAATTGATTGTATTTTATTATTTCCTGTCTGTCTTTCCTCAAAAGAATGCAATCTCTGAGGACATGAATGTTTGCTGTCTTTGTTTACTGCTATAACCCCAGCTCTTGGAATACAATTATTGTTCAGTAAAATTTATTGAAGGACCAGTGAAGTGAATCTGCAGTAGAAGGAGCCAGGGGAAGCAAGCGTGGGAGGAGAGTGGAGAGGTATCCAGGAAAAACATCTTGCAGGTAATTTTAGGATGTGGTAAGGAGTTTTGTCTTCATCCTCATGGCAATGGGATGTTAGGGAATATTTTAAAGAAGTTAACATGAGCATATTTACCTAGAAAAACTGAAATACATGTTGGGGCGGTGGGAGGGCAGGGCTACAGATAGGATGCCAGTGCAATGTTTCAGGAAAGAGAAGAGCTAATGATGGTTTGGACTAGGGTGGTAATGGAGAGAAGTGAAATAACTTGATATTTATTTAGAAGATAAATTTCAAAATACTAATGGGCAGAAAAGAGGAATATATAATAAAAGACTTCTGTGTTTTTGTTTTGCACCACTGGTAGTTGCATAAAATTCACTCAGAACAGGAGCACTGTGAAAGAATGAGTGTGCATCTTGTGGGTGGGGGAAAGGAGGGAGGAGAACCAGGAGATTTGTGTAAGATGTTATGAGCTTGAGATGTTTGAAGCATCCATATGAGGTTATCCAATGCAGGTCAGGAGTGCACAAGGGGTAGCCATAGCTGAATCATAAAAGACTTTATATAAAAGTTACGTTTAAGACGGAATACTGGAGGGAATTGGCAAGATCAGATTATTAACTGAGAAACAGCTATAACTAGCATTTATTTGGCACTTCCTACATACCAAGTGCTATACTTTTGATGTTTGTCCTCCCGAACATTATGTTGAAATTCAGTGCCAAATTCTGGAAGGCCTAATGGCAGACGTTTGGATTATGGGGGCAGAGGTCCCAAGAATGGCTTGGTGCCTTCCCTGTGGTAACAAATAAGTTCTCACTCTATTAATTCACATGAGAGCTGGTTGTTAAAAAGTGCCTGCCTTCCCCTCTGCTCCGCTTGCTTCTCTCATGTGATCTGCACATCCCAGCTCCCCATCCCCTTCCACCATGAGTGGAAGCAGCTTGAGGCCCTCACCAGAAGCAGATGCTGGTGTCATCTTCCTTGTACAGCCTGTGGAACTGTGAGCCAAATAAATCTCTTTTGTTTACAAATATCATGCCTCAGGCATTCCTTTGTAGCAACACAAATGGATTATGACATGAGGCAATATAAAATTATTGGAAACTTACTAAAAGAGGATGAAGTGATATCAAAGATCTGTTGGAATGCACTGCAATATGTCAGTGCTAAAACTAAGACTGCAACAATGAGTTTGCTTAGCAAAGAACTGATTCATGAAATCCATGGAAAGTAGCTTTATGCAATGAGGTAAACTGGATATTACAAGTTGAGTATCCCTTGTCCAAAACTGGTTGGGACCAGAAGAGTTTTGGATTTGGGACTTTTTCGGTTTAGAAATATTTGCATTATACTTAAAGATGAGCATCCAAAATCTAAACATCTGCAAAATGTTTCAGTGAGCGTTCTCTTTAAGCACCACGTCAGCACTCAAAAAGTAACCTATTTTGGAGCATTTCAGATTTTGGATTTTCAGATTTGGGATGCCCAACCGGTATTAGAATGCTAGATATCCTCTCATGTTTCTGTACTTTTTAGGAGAAAAGGTATTGACTGCTTTTATTCCAGACTAATTTTTTGAAGATGTTTACTGTGGTCTTTTGGTACAAATTATGGGTTGGTACCAGAACTCCAGTGTATACTCAACCCATGACTGTGAGGAATCAGCATATACAAAAAGTTGGTCCTCACTATATGCAGGTTTCACATCCTGTGATTATTGTATTTTCCATGTGTATTTTGTTAAAAAAAAAATGTATAAATGGGCCTATGTAGTTCAAGCCCATGTTATTCAAGGGTCAACAGTATGTAGGAAACAGCCTCAGAGGACAGAAATAGTGTCTTCCTCTGGAGCAAAGGGAATGTTTGTTAATTAATTAATATAACGAAGATCATATCTTCTTTTGGGGCAAAGTCAATCAGCTTACTGCCAATTTTAAAACATTCAGATTGCCTAAACTTGAAGTTCATCTTGTGTAACATAAGCCACTGCATGGTCAGGAATCATGTGGTCCATTTCAAAATACCTTGTGGGACCTGGAATTTAGGGAATTGGCACAAATGCTAATACTCTGGCTACTGCTACTACTATGAGTAATAAAGTCTTTCATTAATGACCCAGGAGCTTTATGTATTCTGACAATGTCCATAAAAATGTGGCAGGCTAACTTGTTAGTACACAAGTGAGGCAAAATGAAAGATATTTATAGTTCTTGACAGTATTATGGTTAAGGGACCCAGAAATATTTGAATCTAGCCTTACTCAGCCACCATATCTTTCCTATTAGATCCCCAAATTTATAAGATTCAATGACAACACAAAGTACGGTCTTCTTTATTACTGGCTGTGTTTGTGCCCCAAATAACAATAAAGCATTCTGTCCAACTAGACAGAAATCACAGGTTAAAACCTACTACGGGTCTCCTTCCCTTTGGATAAGCCCAGATTTAATTTCAGGACCAGCTGATGGTCAGGACACAGGAAAGACAGAATCTGTGCATTAGAGAGAAAAGAAAAGAGTAGAGATGCAGGGTGAGGCAAAAATTAATGAAAAATAAGACAGGATGAAGACAGGTTTCCTTTCTCAGCAAGTTTCCTCCTCCCATGCCTCAAATAAAATCTGCACATCTTAGAATATAGGGAATGGTAGACAAGATTGTGTGTAGGATCATATCAAACTGTCTATCATGGATTACTGAATACTTTGTGATTATATTAACTGTGACAGGAAATGAAAGCGAAAGAGCAGGTTTGCTGGGATGGAGAATTTGGCTTTGGGAACTTGAGCATCCAAGAAGTATGGCAAAAGCAAAAAAGGATCAATAGCAAAAAATTGGGAAATGATGAATTTTAGTTGAAGAGAAGAGAAGCCAGCTTGCTGAAGGAGCTTAAGAGGAAATGGTCAAATGCTTAACAGTGAATAATAATATGGTTTACATATTAGAAATAAACATCCATTCATGCTATTTAAAATACTTGTTGGAGACTGAAGAGTCCGTATACAACAGAGAACCTCACTAAAAGTATCTTCAACAGAATATCCATTTAATTTTCAAAACTATGCATAAATTTAGAAAATCATTAACATGATAAGTAGAGTTCATTGAGCAAGTCTACTGAGGTTTCATTTTTCAACCTAAATGTTTATGCACAAACAGGTCATAATAAATCTAGAAAATGCTCACAAAGGACATCTCTAACTGTGTAGCTTTTCTCAAAACGTTCTTTGGTAAAAAGAAACTGAAACATATATTGATTGAATCCATTGATTGTAAATAAATGGCATTCTCAGATGCCTTGTTATTAATAAGGCCACTTGTGTTTAGAAAATTCTAAACACTAATATTATGTTGAGTTCTATTTTTGCTGAATATTCTAATATATTTCACTATTCTTTCATTTGTTTAAATGTTTAAGTACCTTCAATAAAATAGGAAGAGTGATGCTTTCGGATATTCCTTATAAATATAGAAATAAAAACTATAATAAGATTTTCAAGTCAGGAATAATTTTGATAATACTAACATAATTAATTACTCTTCCCAGTAAGTTTCAATTCTTTATGATTCTATATCTGTTTTTCTGTCCCAAATTTCTGTTTTAGTTTGTTCCTTTATAAGTCACGTATATGTGTGGCAATAATGACTCTTACGTGGACAGTATATGAGGACAAGAACTGGGGACAGAAGCTAAAGAATATTTTGTTTTTCAGTGCTTGTGATGAAGAATAAAGTTTGACTTCAGTAAAAATTCCTTAATTTGTTTTAACTTGAAATTTCAATCCTAAGATTCATTCCCAAGAATAAAAAAAGTCCGTATCTTCTCTCTTCAAACTTACATGTACAGGTACATATACATGCCTGCAGATGTGTGTGTGCATAAAAACATCACAATGTAATGTATGAAAAAAGCAATGAACTTTAATCCTGTAAGACTTTAATTTTGTAGGGTTAAGTAGCTATCCTAGCTGTGATACTTCCTATCTGTGAGTTGCATTTTTCTTTTAAACTTGTTCAACATCTAATTTTCTAAATTATAAAACAGAATCATGTCTATGTTAAGAAAATCAGAGGAAAAAAGTGTAAAGATTCTGTAAATGATAAAGCATTATATAAAAATTAGAAAATCACATATGTACATATAAATACACTAATAATATCAAAATTAATGATTTTAAAGGGTCTGCTATACTTCAGTATGTATTATCAATGTCTGCTTTATCCACAAATGCAAAGGCTGATGTGGTTTATACGATAAACAAGACTCCTGGACCTACCAGTTTAAGCTTATAAACTGTAAAAGAAACCAGAGCCATTACATTACAAAACCTGATACCTACTTAGCCCTGAAGGTGAGTATGTAAAACCTGTACCAATTTATCTTACAAACTGCCTAAAGCCAAAGTAAAAATCCATGTGAATTTTAAGTTCAAAAAACTTGCAACTAATAAAAGATACACATAATAAAACAAGAACATTTAATAGGAATCCACAAAGCTCTTTACTGTTAGCTAAGTGATATTACAACAGGATAAGCTGCCTTTGACATCTGTCAACCCCATTGATTGTCATATGGCTAAACCTAATGTCATCTCTATATTTTGAGAAGCATTCCATACAAAGATTAAAACGATACTGGATTTTTTAAAAAATAATTATATTATCTATATTTGATGTTTACAATATGATGTTAAGGAATACATATAGATACTAAGACGGTTCCTATAGTGAGGCAAAATAACATACACATCATCTCACATAGTTACTTATTTTTTTGACAAGAGCAACTAAAATCTTATTTGACAAAAATCTCTAATACAATTTTATTAGCCTTTTGTTGTACATTAGATCTCTAAATGTGTTCATCCTACACATCTGCTATTTTATAGACTTTGACCCACATCTCCTCATTTTCTCTGCCCCCTCTCACCCATGGTAAATGCTGCTTCATTCTCTATATCTGTATAGTTGAATTATATTCTATATAGAAGTGAGATCAGGTAATATTTTTATTTCTGTATCTGGCTTATTTCACTTAGCATGATGTCCTCCATGTTCATCCATGTAGTAACAAATGGCAATATCTACAAATTTTTTTCTTGTTTTTTACAGACAAGGTCTCCCTTTGTTGCACAGGCTTGAGTGCAGTGCTATTCACAAGCACAATCATAGTGCGCTACAGTCCTGAACTCCTGGTCTCAAATGGTCCTCATGCTTCAGCCTCCCAAGTAGCTGGGACTACAGGGCACACCATCTTGTCAGATAGGATCTCCTTTTTAAAAGTGAAAAACAACAGTAAAATATTATTGTATATGTACACATATTACCACATTTTCTTTATCTATTTGTGCACTGATGGACACTGAGGTAGTTTCAGTATCTAGCCTGGTGTGAATAATGCTGCAATGAACATGGGAATGCAGATACCTTTATGAGGTGGTTATTTCACCTCTTTTGGGTATATATTCAGAAGGGGGCTTGCTGGTTAGTATAATGGCTCTATTTTTAATTTATTTAAAAACCTCCATACTGTTTTCCATAATGGCTGTGCCAGTTTACATTCCTACCAAGAGTATACTAGGATTCACTTTTATCCACACCCTTGCCAACATTTGTTATCTCTTGTCATTTTTATAATAGCCATCCTAATGAGTGTTAGGTGGTATCTGATAGTGGTTTCAACTTGCATTTCTCTGATGATTAGTGACGTTGAGAACCGTTTCATAGATATTGGCCATCTGCATGTCTTATTTGGAGAAATATCTATTCAGGTCTTTGTCCATAGGGGAAAAGCCCCTTGACATGGACCTTGGCAATGATTTTTTGTATATCACACCACAAGCTCAGGCTACAAAAGCAAAAAATAAATAAATGGGACTACATCAAACTAAAAAGCTTCTGCACAACAAAGGAAACAATCAATGAAATAAAAAGACAACTTACAGATGGGGAAACATACTTCTTAGCCACATATCTGATAAAGGTTAATATTCAAAATTTATAAAGAGCTCCAACAACTCAGTCACAGAAAGCCAAATAACCTGATTAAAGGGAACTGTAGTTTTGACAGCATAAAGCAGTAAATAATTCCTTAGAAAAGGAAAAATAGAAACATACTTTTCAATATCTCTTTCCCCTACCACTCCTCTTTTGGTAGTGGAAATAACAAAGTCAAAAGAGAAAAAGATTTGAAGAGAACAATTAAAGACAGAAAAAACAGAGGCAGAACATATTTTGTTAAAGGAAATGAGCTTCATTTTTGTGATTTACAGCCCATTTCTCAATGAATTGTGTAAGCTCTCCATGTTCCATATGTATATAGATGTGTTTGCGTGTATACACACATCAACACACACATACCCGTCACTACCATGTTACCATTATAAATTGAGAATGCTACACAGATTGCCATTTAGAACTAATATGCCCTATGTGATGGTTAATATTGCCAACTTGATTATATTGAAGGCTGCAAAGTATCGTTCCTGGGTGTGTTTATGAAGGTGTTGCCAAGGGAGATTACATTTGAATCAGTGGACTGGGAGAGGCAGACCCACCCTCAATCTGGATTGGCACCCTCTAATCAGCTGCCAGCTTGGTTACAATAAAGTAGGCAGAAGAAGTTGGAAGAACTAGACTTGCTGAGTCTTCCAGCCTTCATCTTTCTCCTGTGCATGATGCTTCCTGCCCTCGAACATCATACTCCAAGTTCTTTAGCTTTTGGACTCTTGAATTCACACCAGTGATTTGCCAGGAGCTCTCAAGCCTTTGACCACACACTGAAGGCTGCACTATTGGCTTCCCTACTTTTGTAGTTTTGGGACTCAGACTAGCTTCCTTGATCCTCAGCTTGTGGATGGCCTATTGAGGTACTTCATCTTGTGATTCTGTGAGTCAATACTTCTTAATAAACTCCCCTTCATATATACATCTATCCTACTTGTTCTGTCCCTCTAGAAAACCCTAATACATCCTAAGTAAGAAAAATTGAAAATATCTGTGCTTTTGTTAATCTGCTAAAAAAGTATATTATCAAAGAATCTCACGACCACCTATTTTTTAGGTGGAAGAATATAAAATAAAGAAGATGTTCCTCAGAACTCTCAGATTTAGTTCTGATAAGCAGAAATAATATATTTCTGACACTTAACACATACTAGCTGCTAAAGGAAAATAAAAGGCACATTATTCTAGCATTCTTTTTTTTTTTTTTTTTTTCAAGACGAAGTCTCGCTCTTGTCCCCTAGGCTGGAGTTTGATGGCACAATCTTGGCTCATTGCAAACTCCGCCTCCCAGGTTCAAGCAATTATCCTGCCTCGGCCCCCAGAGTCACTGGGATTACAGGCACACACCACCACACCCGGCTAATTTTTGTATTTTTAGTAGAGATGGGGTTTCACCATGTTGGCCAGGCTGGTCTAGAACTCCTGACCTCAGGTGATCCGCCCTCCTCGGCCTCCCAAAGTGCTGGGATTACAGGCTATTCTAGCATTCTTAAAATCACCAGTAAACAGATTATTCCTTTTCTATAAATATCTTATTTATTCACATTTTTCCAATTAAGAATTATTCACAGAACACATTATTTTAACAGAGAAACCTGAATATGAATAGTTAAATTAACACTCTGATTCAATAAATAATAACATAATCATTAATTTAATTCATTGATATTAAAGATGAGGTTAGGCAATTCTCAGAGAGTTACCCTCTAAAATAAAGATAAGAAAGTGAGGCTGAGTACAGACCAGAAAGCCAGTGAAGCTTTCTTAATAATAGTTTAATGGACTATAAGGTTTCATTTATAATAAATACTAAAAAATGAAATAAAGCTATCCAAATGTCAAACCCAACCTAAATTCTTTTTCTTTTTTCCTTCCTAAATATACATATGTTCAAACACCCATACACAGTTCCAAATGATCCCTTTTAGTTTATGCCTTATAGTGGGATACAATACACCAGAAAAAACAAGGCTACACCATAAATAAAGCATTTAAATTCCTGTAATTATAAGTTAGTCTCTACCAAAACAGATAATCTGTACTCCTTAATTTATAACATCACCTGGGATCATTAAATTATTTTACAAGCAGGATATTATATAAATAAAATGATCAAATCTAAGGTTTAGAAGTTTGCCTAAATTTAGTTTCCAGAGTTATGCAGAAATAGTTGAAGTGGAAATATTATTGTTACATAGACTAATAATGCATTAGTTAATATATATAAATTAACAATCTTTTGGAAAATAAACATTGTGACATCATGTGGAACCACATTTTATTTGATAACATGATTTCTGGTTGATAAGAGATGAAATGTTTTCCTTTACAAAAATAAAAGTTATTTGTATATCTATATTGTCAGTTGGGTCACATTAACATTATACGAGGATTAATGGCTGACAGAGATACTAAACTCTAGACTAATTACTTGTGATGATGATATTTTTGAATACTGGTTCAAATGACTTTTTAAAAAAACATTTATTTTAAGTTCAGGAATACATGTGCAGGTTTGTTTCACGGCACTTGCAAGATTGTGGAAGAAAAGGAACTCTTATACACTGTTGGTGGGAATGTAAATTAGTTCAACCATTGTGGAAGACAGTGGGGCGATACCTGAAAGACCTCAAGAGAGAAACATCATTTAACCCACCAATTCTATTTCTGGGTATATACCCAAAGGAATATAAATCATTCTATTATAAAGATACATGCACACGTATGTTCATCACAACACTACTCACAATAGTAAAGACATGGAATCAACCTAAATGTCCATCAGTGGTAGACTGGATAAAGAAAATGTAGTACATATACACAATGGAATACTATGCAGCCATAAAAAAGAATGAGATCATGTCCTTTGCAGGTACATGGATGGAGCTGGAGGCCATTATCCTTAGCAAACTAATGCAGGAACAGAAAAGCAAATACCACATGTTCTTATTCATAGGGAACTAAATGGTGAGAACAAATAACTCTAAACTCTGTGCTCTGTGTGCTGATTTGCTCTAGAGAAAGGCTAAGTCAAATTCAATGTAGAACTTTCATCTCCTATATATGTTACATATATAGGTAGGTAAATGCTATACATAATATATGTAAAACACAAACTAAAAAGTGTTCAATCACACACATATGAAATACATAAAATATTATACCATATATGTATATACATACAGAGGGAGAGAGAGAGTGAGAGAGAGAGATAAATGAATAATAGAGAGATATAAGATTTAAGTATATGAGAGATAAGGAGGAAAGGGGAGAGAGGGAGATGGTATGGGTTGAATTGTGTTCCCCCTGAAATATATTAATACATTAAAGTTCTAACCCTCTAAGTACCTCAGAATATGACCTTTTTGGAAATAGTATTATTGGAGTTGTAGTTAGTAAAGTTAAAAGGATAAGGCCATATTGGAATAGGGTGGACCTTTAATCCAACATGACTAGTGTCCTTATAAAAAGAGGACAGACAAGCAAAGAGAGAATGCCATGTGAAGACAGAGGATTAGAATGATGCAACTACATGTCAAAGAATACTTGAGATTACCAAAAGCTAGGAGAGAGGCACAGAGCAACAGATTCTTCCCTAGTGCCTTCAGAGAGAGCATAGCCCTGCCAGCACCTTAGTTTCAGACTTCTGGCCTCCAGAACTGTAATACAATAAATCTTTGTCGTTTTAAACTATACAGTTTTTGGTAGTTAGTTAAGGCAGCCCTAGCAAACTAATACAGGAAGACTGGATGGGGGAGAGAGGGAAGGGGGTGCATAACATGTACCAGGATCTGTACTAGAAAATCACCTACTAGAAGATTTAGATATATGAATAAAGTGATTAAATATTTCAGTAGAATATGGAAGACTTAAAGACAGGGGAGAGTGTAAAAAAAGCTATTCAGAGATCAGTTCAGAAAAAAGAAATATTGCTACCTGGCTCATCCAAGTCAGCAGACGTAGCAAGTGTAGGATTCCAGAAATAAACAGAAGGGGAAATTTTAATCCGTTCATAATAGCTATCAATATAATGCTGGGGCATTGATAATGTGATTATAAGATAAGTACCTTCTCAGTTTCAATATTTTTTTGCCTTTCATTGAGATGATTATTTGAGAGAGAAAACTCAAGAGTAGAAGCAAGTTTGGGGGAGAAGATGCCAAAGTGTTTTTTATGTCCCGAGATTGAGGTTGCAGTTGCATAGCGCAGAATATGAAAAAAAAAATTCTGAGAATAGGGGTCTGTGGATCCCCACCTCTTTTAGGGATCCAGCAGAGGGGGGATCATGAAGGTTAATGAAAAGATAAAAGTCTTAAAAATCAAACGAAAATCGGAAAAGTGAAAGTAAGAAAGGCTTTCAGCAGGGATAGAATGTTGGAAGGGCTAACCTTGATAGAAAATACTTAGCAGAATCATGGGGAAAGAAGAAACCAAACTGTAGTCATATTTCAGAGATGAATCAAGTCTGGGGCATGGTATCCTTATTAAAATAAAGAATGGGAGGCTGAGACGGTCGGATCACAAGGTCAGGAGATCAAGACCATCCTGGCTAACACGGTGCAACCCCGTCTCTACTAAAAATGCAAAAAATTAGCCAGGCATGGTGGTGGACACCCGTAGTCCCAGCTATTCCGGAGGCTGAGGCAGGAGGATGGCGTGAACCCAGGAGGCGGAGCTTGCAGTGAGCCGAGATCACGCCACTGCACTCCAGCCTGGGTGACAGAGCGAGACTCCATCTCAAAAAAAAAAAAAAAAAAAAAAAAAAAAAAGAATGAAGTATCTTAGCCAACTTCTAATACATGTGTGTTTGTTTTCTCAAATAGATTTTCTAGCAAGAGAAATACATGATGATAAAATATTTAGCCATTTAAGTATAAAATTTATTTAGAAAATAGCTAACAAACTAATATTTTATCCATGGCAAATTGAACAGCTTTATCTTCTATCTCTTGCAGGTCTCTCTGTATGTTCAAATCTTTCTGATGCTTCACTTGTTTACTCTTGAGATTTGATTTATATTTCTGAAAATCCATCCATGGCAAAATTTCTTTGTGCAAAGTATATTGATGTTGTGACTGCTGATATACCCTTTACTTTTTCAACCACAGTATAGACATTTTATATCATTCTTCCATATACAGGAAAGGATTATATATCAAATTAGAACAGCCATTAATGATTATAACAATGCAGGTAAGTATGAAATTAATGTATTATTAGTTTTTTAAATACTAAGAATCATGACCCTAGAAAACTGTAATAATAGGAAATTTCAGAGGATAAAATTTCCTAGAAATAGTAACTTACAAAAATTATACACCCATTTAAAAGTTGACTGTTTTTAATGGCTAAGACCTAACCAGACCAATCCTCCCACAGATAACAAAAGTAAGCCCAAGACATAATCAAGAAAAACAGCCACTTGAGGGCACTGAAAAAGAAACAGAAGCAGGACTGGAAGTGGACAAACAATATTTTTACCCACATCTCTCTGACCAGAACTCATTCACATGACTGCAATTTATCTGAAAGGGAGACCTAGGAAGGTAGATTTTTCTCTGTGCTCAAAAGAGGAAACTGGATGAGCATCATCCAACAAGTCTCTGTCACATACAGATTTTACCCAGAGCAGCGAAACTAGCTGGATGCTAAGTACGTCTCACATATGCTTTTCTTCTTTCTGTAACATATCACAATAATCAATTTTCCTTTATTTCTTCCAAAGCTGAAGAGCTGAAAGCTTTTGTCTCTTCTATCAACAATTCCAACTGTACGTTCTTCTTCATTTGACATTCACATTTTTATTCATTCAGTTACTTAAGGACAGAAGTATACATACAAATCAAGACATAAGATAAAAAAATTTAAAATCCATCCAAAATCTCAACAGTTTTGTTGAATTTTCCATTGTTTCCTTAGAAAGCTAACAGAGGTCTGTCTAACAGGTAGCATACCTTTTCTCTATGGGAAGTCAGAACCAGTTGAAAAATAACAGTGAAGCAGCAGAAAGACAAAAATATCAGATTATTACTGTAAAAGAAACTAAAAAAATATAACTTATATACACAAGAGAGTTTTCCAATTCTGAGCTCTAGAATTAGACATATGTCCCCCCTCACCTACCCACATGCAGTGCAATATATCCTCACTTGCATGAAGAGTGTTGCCCATTACAATCCAGAGCATGAAGGTGCAGAGCAAAATACACCTTTCCTATGGGAGAGTAGCTTACTGTAGACGGAAGGAGATAGAGACTGGTTATGATTACTCAGCTCCTTCCTCCAACTCAACCATATAAGCCACTCCTCCCTGCAGATAGAAGGAACTGAGAAACTGGAGAGCACTCTGGAGCTTTAAGTCATTGGAGGATCTTTCACATGAAAAGAAATAGGAGACATTGTGAAGATGCCAGCCCCAACCACAATAAAAAAATACGCCTTTTAAAAATAATACATATAATATTTAAATTAGAAAATAATTACTTCCTTAGGTTATTTAAATTATTCTGTTTATGTATCTTCCCATAATCTTCTCAACCCACCGGAATAAACAATGTTTTTATAATTTTGGTTTCATAACTCCAGAATACCAGTGATCAGCCCGATTATGAAATACAATCTTTAATAAATCATAGATTTTCAGAATCATAGGTTTTATAATCATGAGGACTTATGTTGAAGAAGCCAAAGTTGCAAACAGGTATTACCTTCATTAAATTGGGATCTTACTTAAATGAGAGATAATCAATGTAAATATTAATACAGTACAGGAAAAGATTAATATGATACTCTATGATTGTTTATATGTCATAAACTATATTTCCGTGAAGTTGGTATCACATTCAGAAATAACACCTATAAAAAGAAATATTTCTCATAATATATAGCTTTTAATTTTAAAGATTTTGTACTTTATAAAGATGTTCATGCATGTTGGATTGATCTTAACCCAACTAGATTCAACATTTTAATCCTTACTTAGCCAAAAGGTACATGAGTTGTGCCTGATTTGTAAAAATTTTGATTTGACTCCTTTTAGATTTTACATTTAAATTCCCAATAAACCCAAGAAAACTCGCTTTCAAGGATTAGAATCACTGTATGAAAAAATTTACATTGCCACAGAAGATACTCAATGACAATTTAGAATCATTCAACAAAAGTTTGAATAATATGATCAAGAATAGGTTGATTGACACTTTTGCATAAAACTAATAGTACAATGATTTCTTTCGTGGACCTCTAAAAGCTCTCAGCAGAGCATATCTAATATGTTTGTTTTAAACATGGAATCTAAAAGTTCTTATGCAACACACAGAAATGTTTACTATGCCATAATACCAATAGCTACCTAAAGGTTAGGGATCTAAGAGGGCAAAATAAGACATCATCAGTATTTAATATATATTCATTCTAAATGTCTCTGTGAAAGTGAAGTTCCACAGGAGTCTTTATAATGATGCACTGAGATGGTGGTGGTCTTGGGAAGTAAAGAAAAGAAAGCCACATGACTAAGGTTTGATCCACCTGCTTCAAATAATCTAAACATATTTCTTTCTCCTCTTTTTTTTTTTTTTGTTTTATTAAGCACTTAACGTTTTTCTCCCAATGAGAGAAGTACCAGTTTCAAGTAGACCAGGATAGACTTTAGATGACCAAAAGCCTAGATCACTTCGGTGAGATACAGGAAAACTGAAGTTTGCACCTCGTAAAATTAGACCATATTTACTCATTTTTAGGCTTCTGGGAAGCCAAATACTATTATTAAAATCAGGGACTCAACACATTTAGCAGGGGTTATAGGGTTTGGTATCAGAAAGATGTGAACTAACAGACTATAGAAATTTCCTGGCCTGAGAGTCTTTATATCTTCTCAGAAAGAGATGATCTGATTAAAAAAAAAAAAAAAAAGGTGCCAAAGAACAAACCCTGACACTATGTTATTTTCATCTACAACATCTGTGTTACATTATTATTTATTTCAAACACTAAATCAATTCAGAGAATAATGCATGTGCTTAATGCAGAAGGAGCAATGTCTCTTCGCCGTTTTCAATAAGAGCTGAGTCTTTCTCATGAACCTAAAATCATACTGTCACTAATCCAGATCTTTAACAATCAATCAATCCTATATTCAAATGACCAGAAAAAAAAGCTAAATTCATATATAGAAGCCTTTCACAACTGGGTTGTGACTTTTTTATTTAAGGAGTATATATTCAACGTCATGTAATTGATTGTTCTCAGTCAAGATTTCTGACTTAGAAGTAAACATATATAATTTATTTAGCACTTACTGTGGACTTACTAAATTCCAAATGCTGTCTTAGACTCAATCTTTATAATTGAAGAGTTGCTTTTCAAACACATAGTTGGTAATACAATATGGTAAATGTGATTTATAAATTAGCAAAATACTGAAGAAGCAGCAGAGATTGAAAAATAATTAGGTAGAGTACTTGGAGATAGGCTTACAAAAATGACATTTAGGCTACATTTTCTTGAAAAATGATCAACTGATGTCTTGATTAGAACAGTCTGAGTCTAATAAAAGTGTCAAATTGTCTTACATATGTAACAATAAAACATAAGTTGTTTTTTATAATTATGAGGACTTATGTTGAAGAAGCCAAAGATAAAACTACAGTATCATAGAATCCATAAAGCATCAAAATATAGAATCCTGAAAGTTTATATAAGTGAAGTTTTTAAATTAATGATTGATTGACACTAGGGCAGAGATTCTGTTTTCAAAACTGTCCAACTGGATAATTTGAACCAATCCTTCAAATTGATTTAATACTTAAAAATCTTATTAAAAGCAACAAAAGACTAATGAAGAGGAGGAATCACTCGGCCAAGGTCCCAGAGAAGAGTGACTCTGGAGAGATAAGTCTGGCATTTGGGTTTGCTTTCACCCTTGGGGCATCTTGCCAACACGGGAAGAGACAACAAAGGGACTGCACAGCATGTTCATTACCTCTCATGCTACAGGGATGAAATGTGGAGTCAAGAGTAGTCAAATGGAAAAAGAGTAAGGATATACCAAAAGAAAGCAGCCCTCAATGGATGGTAGCCAGGCTGCTAGTCATCTGAGTAGACGAGAACAATCCCAAGCCTTAAAACACGATTAAAGTGATTTTTAAAATCTCCAATGTTCTGGGTATCTAAAAGAGCAAAAGAATATCCCCTTTAGAATCAGATATTATCATCTTAGACATATAATTATTTCCTCAAGCATTTTTAATAACAATCTGCAGCACACAATGGCAGGTATACAAGCAAAGATAACATGACATGAACAGAACCAACACAAACAAAAGAAAATGGGCAAAGGCCCAGAAAGAGTACAGAAGTGAAAATTATCAGAAAAAGACAGATATCAAATATGTATAAAGATAAAATTTGAAACTAAAAACTTTAGCCAGGAATTGGTAACATTTAAAGAGGTATGTTATAAATTTAAAATAAAATCAAACAGAATTTCCAGAAAATAAATATTTAATAAATAAAAGTAAAAACTAGCAATCTCAACATGGGGTATCTATCTGAAGGAAGTCATTTTATCAAAATAAGTATCTTCACTCACATGTTTATCACAACACTGTTCACAGTAGCAAAGACAGAATCAACTTAAGTATCCATCAACAGATAACTGGATAAAGAAAATGAAGTATATATCCACAATGAAATACTGTTAAGCCATAAGAAAATAAAATCATGTCTTTTGCAGTAACATAAATGGAATTGGATGCCATTATCTTAAGTGAAACAACTCAAAACAGAAAGTTAAACACTGTGTATAATTGGGAGCCAAATAATATGTATGTGGACATACAGTGTTGATTTACAGACACTAGAGATTCAGAAGCACAGGGGGGAAGAAGTGGGCAGGGTAATGAGAAATTACTTAATAGGTTCAATATGTATTATTTGGTTGATGAACACACTAACAGCCAAGACTTCACCACTATGCAGTATAAGGATGTAACAAAAGTGCACTTGTATTCCTTAAATTTATACAAATAAAAAACTAAATAGGCAGATTTAACTGCAGATGAAACACAGCTAACTTGAGAATTAATGAACTTGGAGATTTTGTAGAAGGAAGTGTAAAGACCAAAAAAGAGAAAAATATATATGATTATAAGAGATACAGAAAGCAGAGGGAAAGGAACTAACATAAATTGAATCAGAGTGCCAGAAGAACAGAACAGAGAAAATAAATGGAAAAAACCATAAATAAATAATAGCTTAGAGTTTCCAAAACTGATTAAAGACATCAATCCACAAATTCAATATTACAATCAATTCTAAAAATGACAAACAAAAACAAATTCTCATGTGTGATTATATCAACATGAAATAGCGAAAAATAAATACAAAGATAAATAGTAAAATAAAATTGAAAAACCCATTACCAACCTAAAAGATGCATATTAGAAGAAAATTCACTATAGAAAACATTTTTGAAATAATTTGGGATTTTAAAATATGGAATCGATATTAGATAATATAGGTTTATTTTTCTTAAGAGTAATAATGCACTATAGTTACATAAGAGAATGTCCTTATTCTTAGGAGACACACACTGAAGTATCTAGGGCTGAAGTTGCACATCTTTAATTTATTTTCAAGTTTTATATATATATTTTTATTTACTATATGATATATAGTTACTATATATGATAGTATATATAATTGTATATATATAACTTGAAATTATGTGCATAGTTTTATATATATAACTGTATATACAATCATTTTATATAGATCTATACTTGAAATTATATATATATATTAATAGTATATATATAACTGTATATACTATCTGAATATATAGTACATATGTATATATTCTGTATGTTTGAAATTTTTAAAAATAAAAAAGACAAAGAACATACTATAAGTAGGGAAAAAAGAAATTTCTAGGGAGGAGCATGAGATGGACTGACATAATTTCTCAGTAACAGCAATGTAAGCCAGAAGCAATTGAATGATGTTCTCAAATATTCCAAAAAAAAGTACAATCTAGAATTCTATACAAAATGAAAATCTTTCAAAAATGAAGGTGAACTAAAGACCAATTCAGTCAAACCAGAGAATTTGCCACCAACAAACTTGTACAATTTAAATAGTAACATATTTCTTCTTCAGCAATAAATGATCTCAGATGAGAGTGCATAGATGAAAGGACAAAGCACAGCAATGAAATAGTAGCTACATGAGGAAACCTAAATAACAATTTTCTTTAGTAAAACAGTAACAATATTTTGGTGGAAATTATACATTGTACACATATACACAAATATACATAAGTGTATGTATGTATGCAAGTATGTATAGCAAATGCACACACAAGTACATAGTTAAAATATACAGTAAAATTGGCATATAATCTTAAGAGGGTAAATAACAGTAAATGGAAATAGAGTGTTCTAAGGTACTTATATTGATCAGGAGGAAGGTAGAATTAACAATTAACATTAGACTATTATCATTCAACATTAGAAATTACATATTGTAATTTCTAGGGCAATGAATGAAAGAATACCATAAGAACATAGAGATTTATAACACATAAAAATAAAATATTGAAATAATCAACAGAAGGGAATCCAAGAAAAAATATGGTAACATCAAACAAGTAAGACAAATAAAAACAGAATATGATAGATTTAAAAGCAAGTATGTCAGTGACTATTTCAATGGAAATGAAATTAAAGCTCCAATTTAAAGAAAAAATTTGTTAGATTACAAATAAATGCTTAATAATTTACTGTTTATAAAGGACATAAATTAATCATATGACCCAGAAATCTCTATTCTGAGTATATACCCCAAAGAAATTAAATCACCACCTTGTAAAGATATCTGCATTTCCATGTTCATTGCACATTATTCACAATTCCCAAGATATGAAAGCAATACGTGTCCACTGACACATAAAGGAACTGTGATGCATATATACAATGAAATATTACCCAGCCATACCAAAAAAAAAAAGATTTTGCCATTTGCCACAACATGAATGAAACTGGAGGACATTATGCTATGTGACATAAACCAGACATAAAAATAAAAGTTGTATTATATCACTTATATAAGGAATCTAAAAATTAAAAGGTTGAATATACAGAGATAGAGAATGAAACAGTGGTTACTAGGATTAAGGTAGAGGGTATGGGGAGATATATGTCAAAGGATATAAAGCAGCAGATAGATAGGCTAAACAAACCTAGAAATATAATGTACCACATTAGGACTATAGTTACTAATACTGTATTCAAGATTTTTGCTAATTGAGTAGATATTAGCTGCTCTTGCCACGAAGGAGAAAAAATGGTTAACTATGTGAGATGCTGGATATGTTCATTTGCTTCATTCTATTAACCATTTTGTTATCTACATGTATCTGATAACACCAACTTATATGCAAAAAAAAATTTAAAAAGAACATAAAACTGTAAAAATAAATTAATAAACAATCGCATTGGCTCACCATACAAGAAGTGAAAACTGATGGTGCTATATGTAAGAGAAAATAGAAAAATCCACCATCACTGTTGTAGTCAAATTTCATCCTCTCAACAACTGATAAGTCAATCAGAAAAAAAAGGACTCAATACTTTGAGAAAACTATTAAAAACTTGACTTCATGGACATATCAACCATTGATTTTTAATGATATCACTGCCAACACTCTATATAAGCACACCCTGAGAATTCACAAATTTTAAAAAACTGACCCTAAACTAAAAACTAATTTTTACAAATTTTAGTAACTAAAAAACATACCAATAATCCACAGCATGCAATCTGTTACTATAATACAATTAAGTCCTAAACAAGTAGCAAAAATAAATCAAATCACTGGAAACCTCTGCATATTTGGAAGTTAAGACATGTAATTCTCCATACACCATTGACCAAAGATATGATATTGAAAATTAGAAAATATTTTAAGCTGAATAATAAAAAAGTTAACACTTCTAATTGTGTGATAAACAGTAGAAAGGGATTAGGTGTGCCTCTCACGCCTTAGTATTTTGCATGAATACTGCTTGAGATGGAAAAAGAGAGTGAGGGAGGGAGAGAGAGACAGAGAGAATGAGAGAGAGAGAGAGTGGGGGTCTTGGGGAGAATGTATTACTCCACTTTCACACTGCTGATAAAGACATACCCAAGACTGGGGAGAAAAAGAGGTTTAATTGGACTTGCAGTTCCACATGGCTGGAGAGGCCTCAAAATCATGGCGGGAGGTGAAAAGCACTTCTTACATGGCAGTGGCAAGAGAAAATGAGAGATGCAAAAGCAGAAACCCCTGATAAAACCATCAAATCTCATGAGACTCATTCACTGCCATGAGAACACTATGATGGGAACTGCCCTCATGATTCAAATTATCTCCCACCAGGTCCCTCAAACAACATGTGGGAATTATGGGAGTACAATCCAATATGAGATTTGAATGGGGACACAGCCAAACCATATCATACCTCCCCTGGCCCCTCCCAAATCTCATGTCCTTGCATTTCAAAGTCAATTGGCCTTGGGTAAATATTGCTGTTCTAAATAAGAGAAATTAGCCAAAACAAAGGGGTTACAGGCCCCATGCAACTCTGAAATACAGTAGGGCAGTCAAATCTTAAAACTCCAAAATAATCTCCTTTGAGTCCATGTCTCACATCCAGGTCACGCTGAAGCAAGAGGTGAGTTCCTATGGTCTTAGGCAGCTCCACCCCTGTGGCTTTGCAGGGTACAACCTCCCTCCTGGCTGCTTTCATGGTCTGGCATTGAGTGTCTGTGGCTTTTCCAGACACACGGTGCAAGCTGTCAGTGGATCTACCATTCTGGGGTCTGGAGGACAGTGACCCTCTTCTCACAGCTCCACTAGGTGGTGCCCCAGTAGGGACTCTTTGAGTGGGAGTGCCAACTCCACATTTCCCTTCTGCACAGTCCTAGCAAAGGTTCTCCATGACAGCCCCACCCATGCAGCAAACTTCTGCCTGGACATCCAAGTGTTTCTATACATCCTCTGAAATTTAGGTAGAGTTTCCCAAACCTCAATTCTAGACTTCTGTGCACTCGCAGGCTCAACACCGCGTGGAGGCTGCCAGTGCTTGGGGCTTGCGCCTTCTGAAGCTATGGTGCGAGCTCTGCATTAGCCCCTTTCAGCCACAGCTGGAGCAGCTAGGAAGCAGGGCACTAAGTACCTAGGCTGCACACAGGTTGGGGACCCTGGGTCAGGCCAACGAAATCATTTTCTCCTAGGCCTCTGGGCCTGTGATGGGAGGGGCTGCCGTGAAGACCTAGACTTGCCCTAAGGACATTTTCCCCATTGTCTTGGGGATTAACATTTGGCTCCTTGTTACTTATGCAAATTTCTGCAGCCAGCTTGAATTTTTCCTCAGAAAATGGGTTTTACTTTTCTATCACATTGTCAGGATGCAAATTTTCTGAACTTTTATGCTCTGCTTCCCTTATAAAAATGAATGCTTTTAACAGCACCCAAGTCACATCTTGAATGCTTTGCTGCTTAGAAGTTTCTTCCACCAGATACCCTAAATCATCTCTCCCAAGTTCAAAGTTCCACAAATCTCTAGGGCAAGGGGAAAATGCCACCAGTCTCTTTGCTAAAACCTGAGAAGAGTCACCTTTGTTCCAGTTCCCAACAAATTCCTCATCTCCATCTGAGACCACCTCAGCCTGGACCTTATTGTCCATATCACTATCAGGCTTTTGGTGAAAGCTATTCAACAAGTCTCTAGGAAGTTCCAAACTCTCCCACATTTTCCTGTCTTCTGAACCCTCCAAACTGTTCAAAACCTCTTCCTGTTACCCAGTTCCAAAGCTGCTTCCACATTTTTGGGTATATTTTCAGCAACTCCTCATTCGCAGTACCAATTTACTGTATTAGTCTATTTTCATGCTGCTGATAAAGACATACTGGAGACTGGGAAGAAAAAGAGGTTTAATTTGACTTCAGTTCCATATGGCTGGGGAGGCCTCAGAATCATGGCAGGAGGTGAAAGGCACTGCTTACATGACAGCAGCAAGAGAAAATGAGAGAGATGCAACCCCTCATAAACTGATAAAGCAGAAACCCCTGATAAAGCCATCAGATCTTGTGAGACGTATTCACTACTACAAGAACAGTATGGAGGAAACTGCCTCCATGATTGAAATCATCTCCCACCAGATCCCTCCCAAAACATGTGGGAGTAATTCAAGATAAGATTTGGGTGGGGACACAGCCAAACCATATCAGTGGGTGTGTGTGTGTGTAAAGTGTAGGTTTGTATGGGAATACGACTCCCTAAACACAACTCTTTCATCTGGTATTAAGATGAACAAATGGCTAAACTTTCCTAATATTGTTGGAAACACTGGTTATGTAGGACTTAACTGAGAAATGTAATATCATTTTTCGCACTGGCACCATCCTACGGATTTCAAGAATTATTTTGGCATACACAATTTTCTCCCTATATACTTTAGAATTTCTCCTATGTAATATTTAAAAAGGTATCAGTCCAATCTATCTGAGAAATTTTGTATGAAGTGTTAAAGAGCACAGTGTTTAAGAGTGGAAACATGGCTTAAGTTTCCACCATTACTAACTAAAAATTAGCTAAAAGCAAAAGCCTTTTATATGCTACTTGGTGAATATCTGAGTCATACTACCATAGAATAAAGTGATAGCTCACTATCCAAATATTAGTAGAAAGAAAAGTTTCATGCTCAAAGATATCCCTACCTGATATATCATATAAAAACATACTTCCTGTGGCTTAACCATGATCCCCAAGTTGGGCTAGTCTTGGTTTTGACATTCCCTGTGATACTGGTTAACCCAGTGACTCTTGATTGAAGGAGATTTTACCCCTAGGGAGCACTTGGCACTGTCTGAATACATTTTTTATTTTTCATAACTGAGGAAGGTGCTACCAGGATCTAGTGGGTAGAAGCCAGGCATGCTTCTAAACATCCTACAGTGCACAGAGCAGCTCCCCATATAAATAAATGATCTAGCTCAGCATGTCAATAGTACTGCACTGAGAAACTCTGGTCTAATCTGATCAATCCAGGAGGGTTCACTTATCCCACTGATCTTTGTGTGACAGTAATGTTGCATCACTTTCTGTCAGGTTTTCTAGATTAGATGAAGAGTATCTTTAAAATTAAAAATTAAAGATAGTCAAAACCTTAAGGTATAAAATTGGGATATACTTATTCTCATCAATTGTGGACTTAATCTATTAATCAGCTATTCAGATTTCCTGAAAAGACTTTTTAAATTATAAATCTGACAAATGGAAGAAACATGATTATGATATCAATTTGGGATGTTTGTTTAAATAGGAATCTAAACTTAAAATTAATTTATATATTTTATTTTACTTTAAGTCCCAGGAGGAGACAAGTGCAGAACATGTAGGGTTGTTACATAGGTATACATGTGCCATGGTGGCTTGCTGCACCTACCAACTCGTCATGTAGGTTTTAAGCCCTGCATGCATTAGCTATTTTTTGTAATGCTTTCCTTACCCTCGGCCCCCACCCCCAACTGGCCCCCATGTGTGTTTTTCCTCTCCCTTTGTCCATGTGTTCTCATTGTTCAACTGCCACTTATGAGTGAGAACATGCAGTGTTTGGTTTTCTGTTCCTGTGTTAGTTTACTTAGGATGATGGCTTCCTGCTTCATACATGTCCCTACAAAAACCATGATCTCATTGCTTTTTATGGCTGCATAATATTCCATGGTGTATATGTACAACACTTTCTTTATTCAGTGTATCATTGAAGGGCATTTGGTTTGGTTCCAGGTCTTTGCTATTGTAAATAGTGTTGCAATAAACATACATGTGCATGTGTCTTTATAGTAGAATGACTTATAATCCTTTGGGTATATACCCAGTAATGGGATGGCTGGGTCAAATGGTACTTCTGGTTCTAGATCATTGAGGAATTTCCACAATGTCTTCCACAATGGTTGAACTAATTTACATTCCCATCAATAGTGTAAAAGCACTCTTATTTCTCCACAGCCTCGACAGCATGTATAGTTTCTTGAGTTTTTAATAATCGCCATTCTGACTGGCATGAGATGGTATCTTATTGTAATTTTGATTTGCATTTCTCTAATTATCAGTGATGTTGAGCTTTTTATCATATGTTTGTTGGCCACATGAATGTCTTCTTTTTAGAACTGTCTGTTCATATCCTCTGCCCAATTTTTGATGGGGTTGTTTTTTTCTTGTAAATTTGTTTAAGGTCCTTGTAGATTCTGGACATTTGACCTTTGTCAGATGGGTAGATTGCAAAATTTTTCTCCCATTCTGTAGGTTGCCTGTTCACTCTGATGATAGTTTCTTTTGTTGTGCAGAAGATCTTTAGTTTAATTAGATCCTATTTGTCAATTTTGGCTTTTGTTACCATTACTTTTGGTGTTTTCCTCATGAAGGCTTTGCCCATGACTACGTCTCAATGATACTGCTTAAGTTTTCTTCTAGGTTTTCGATTTTACTTTTAAGTCTTTAATCCATCTTCAGTTAATTTTTAGATATAGTGTAAGGTAGGGGTCCAGTTTCAGTTTTCTGCATATGTCTAGCCAGTTTTCCCAGCACCATCTATTGAATAGGAGATCCCTTCCCCATTACTTGTTTTTTTCCAGTTTGTCAAAGATCAGATGGTTGTAGATATGTGGTGTTACTTTTAAGGTATCTGTTCTGTTCAATTGGTCTGTATGTCAGTTTTGGTTCTAGTACCATGCTATTTTGGTTACTGTACCATTGTAGTATAGTTTGAAATCAGATAGCATGATGACTCCAGCTTTGTTCTTTTTGCTAGGATTATCTTGGCTTTATGGGCCCTTTTTGGTTTCCTTTGAAATTTAAAGTATTATTTTCTAATTCTGTGAAAAATGCCAATGTTAGTTTGATGGGAACAGCACTGAATTTATAAATTACTTTGTGTAGTATAGCCATTTTCACATTATTGATTCTTCCTATCCATAAGGATGGAATGTTTTTCCATTTGTTTGTGTCCTCTCTTATTTCCTTGAGAAGCGGTTTGTAGTTCCCTTTTAACAGGTCCTTCACATCCCTGGTTAGCTGTATTCCTAGGTATTCTATTCTCTTTGTAGCAATTGTGAATGGGAGTTGATTCATGATTTGGCTCTCTGCTTATCTTCTGTTGGTATATAGGAATGCTTGTGATTTTTGTACAGTGATTTTTTTATCCTGAGACTTTGCTGAAGTTGCTTAGCAGCTTAAGGAGTTTTTGGGCTGAGACGATGGGGTTTTCTAAATATGTAATCATATCTTCAGCAAACAGAGACGATTTGACTTCTTCTCTTCCTATTTGAATGCCAATTATTTCTTTCTCTTGCCTAACTGCCCTGCCCAGAACTTCCAATACTATATTGAATAGGAGCAGTAAGAGACAGCATCCTTGTCTTGTGCCAGTTTTCAAGGGGAATGCTTCCAGCTTTTGCTCATTGAGTATGATATTGGCTGTGTGTTTGTCATAAATAGTTGTTTTTATTTTGAGATATGTTCTATCAATAACTAGTTTATTGAGAGTTTTTAACAAGAAGCGATGTTGAATTGTATCGAAGGCCTTTTCTGCATCTGTTGAGATGATCATGTGGTTTTTGTCATTGGTTCTGTTTATGTGATGGATTACATTTATTGATTTTCATATGTTGAACCAGCGTTGACCCTAGGGATGAAGCCAATTTGATCAGGGTGGACAAGCTTTTGATGTGCTGCTGGATTTGGTTTCCCAGTATTTTGTTGAGGATATTTTCATTGATGTTCATCATGGATATTGGCCTGAAATTTTTTGTTGTTGTTGTTTCTCTGCCACATTTTGGTATCAGAATAATGCTGGCCTCATGAAATGAATCAGGGTGGAGTCCCTCCTTTTCTATTGTTTGTAATAATTTCAGAAAAAAATGGTACCAGCTCCTCTTTGTACCCCTGGTAGAATTCAGCTGTGTATCCCTCTGGTCCAAGGCTTTATTCGGTTGGTAGGCTATGAATTACTGCCTCAATTTCAGAACTTTTTATTGGTCTATTCAGGGATTCAACTTATTCCTAATTTAGTCTTGGGAGGGTATATGTGTCCAGGAATGTATCTATTTCTTCTTGACTTTCTAGTTGATTTGCTAGAGGTGTTTATAGTACTCTCTGATGGTAGTTTGTATTTCTGTGGGGTCGGTGGTGATATCCCCTTTATCATTTTTTATTGTGTCTATTTGATCCTTTTCTCTTCTCTTCTTTATTAGTCTAGCTAGGAGTCTATCTGTTTTGTTATCTTATTTTTTCAAAAAACCAGCCCCTGGATTCATCGATTTTTTGGAGGGTTTTTCATGTCTCTGTCTCCTTCAGTTCTGCTCTGCTCTGATCTTAGTTATTTCTTGTCTTCTGCTACCTTTTGGATTTGTTTGTTCTTGCTTCTTTAGTTCTTTTAATTGTGATATTATGCTGTTGATTTGAGGTCTTTCTAGCTTTCTTATGTGGGCATTTACTGCTATAAATTTCCCTCCTAACACTGTGTTAGCTGTGTCCCAGCTAATCTGGTATGTTGTCTCTTTGTTCTCATTGGTTTCAAAGAACTTCTTGATTTCTGGCTTAATTCCATTATTTACCCAGGAGTCATTCAGGAGCTGATTTGCTCCTGTGCCTGGAGATGTCACTCGAGGAAGCTGGAGAACAGCAAAGAGGTGTGCCGCTCCTTCCTCTGGGATCTCTGACCTCGAGGGGCACCGAACTGATTGCCAGTAGGAACATTCCTGTATAGGGTATCTGACAACCCTGTTGGAGGATCTCACCCAGTTGGGTGGCACGAGGAGCAGGATCTGTTTAACAAAGCACTTTGACTGTCCCTTGGTGGAGGGGTGTGCTTCGTTTCGGGGGGAAACACAATCATCTGGGCTGCCTGAATTCCTCAGAATTAGCAGGAGGAAAGTCTAAGTCTGCTGGTTTGTGGAGACTATGGTCACCCCCTTCCCTAGGGGCTTATGCCCAGGGAGATCAGAGTTGGGTCCCTAAGCCCCTGGATGGAGTTGTCAGAGTTCCTTCAGGGAGGCCCTGCCCAGTGAGGAGGGATGGGCCAAGGTCAGGCCTGAAGGGGCACTCGGTCTACAGTATGCCACGGCTCCTGCGTTGAGCTGTGGGGGATAGATATCTCTTGGGACCAAGCCATCTAGCCTCCCAGGCTTCAGTAGGGGAAAAGTGTGACCTGGAGCTATAGAGATGGCTGCTGCCCTTCCCCCGCTCTGGGAGATTAGTGTGTTAGGCAGCTATCAGTCCCAGTGTTGGACATTGCCCCTCCCCCAAGTAGCTCAGATGGTTTAGACAGCAGGCCTCTGCAGCTGTGGTGCTTGTTGCCCCTCCCCACTGGAGCTCGGCTGGCTTATGCAGATTCTAGCTTAGTGGCTATTGAGAATCTGTGCAGCTCCATGGTTGGGAGCCTGGGCCCCGGTGGCGTGGGCTCACAAGTGGGATCTTCCAATTCGTGGGTTTCACAATTCCGTGGAAAAAGCATGTTTCCCCAAGCTGGGTAGCACGCTCACTCACAATCTCACTTGGCTGGGGGGTAGGGGCTCCCCTGCCCCTTGTGGCTCTCAGGTGGGCCGCCATACCACACTGCTCTTCCTTTCTCTTCCTGGGTCACACCAGCCATCCAGTCAGTCCTGATGACAGAATCTGGATACCTCGGTTGCTGGTGCAGGATTTGCACACTGTGATGGTTCTTTTTGATGGGAGCCTCCAATCTCTGCTGCTTCTAATGGGCCACCTTGGCCCCAGCTCCCAGTTTATTTATATTTTATACATTGGCATTAGAAACATAATGGTCCTTCTGAAACCTGGACATTCTCTTTTTGTGTCTAGAGATCACGATTCTAAAATTGCTGTAGCGGTGGTGGGCAAGCACCTTCCTTGCTGAAAATCTGAATGTAGTATGTCCTTTAATATGTAGTACACACACCTGAAAAGCCTTCCTGTATATAATGTATTTCAACTCCTTTTCTTCTTTATTACTTTAGGTTTATAAAACACTAAAGCAAGAAATGTTTCATAAAATGTTACAAAATAGTTTCAGGTTAATTCTGAGTTATATTTAGCAGGAAATTAAATGACAAATATGACAGAAGTAGCTAAAAAATGAAACTTCTGCAGTGTTCTTCCACCATTAAGTGACTCATAGGCTCTCTAAATTGATAGAAAATTGGTAGAATTTAAATGTAAGTAAATTGTTAAAAAATTAAAACTCCAAGATTCATCTTGGACATCCATTTTATAATAGGGCAATGACCTTCCATCTTTTTAAACATTGTTTTGAACAGACTATAGCAATATAAATAATGGTGGCTATCACAGAAGTTAGAGCCCCACTCCCATTGATCAATTTCTGGCTTTGCTTCTTTAGAGGAAGTTGCGGAAAGTGATTACAACAGCTCCTAGCACTTAGAAGCAAATTTCTAATTACTATTATATATTTTACTTAATGTTTAATTATTACTATCTCCAATTTGCTACCCTCTAAAACCTTTTGAAAGTTAGGGGGAATGATCAATTAAGATTCACAGGGCAATTAAAAATCCCAACTATGATGTTTCAGCTTGATTAAATCAGACTATGCTGCTACTATCAGGAATTTAACAATCATAAATGTTAGAAGCTTTATTACTTTATTTTTTACTTAATAACCTATGATGACCCCATGATCAGAATTGGTTAAGAATTGTATCAAAACAAATTCAAAATGCTATCCTAGGTAATTTAAAAAAATATTATAACACTACATGTGTAAGGGCTATATTTATTTGGTTAAGTACTAAGTTTGAACTTTAAGTACACATTTGAGTTATTAAACACATGAGCTATTATACCTTCAAACTTGCTTTAAGCTCATTTAGGGGAGATTAACAAAAAGGCAGATTTTCATTTAATATAATATTAGAAATGCCTTGTTTTTATCTGTAACTGTCTCATAGTCAATCACTTTTTGAGAGATCCAAATGTACACACAAACGTACATTGTCCCAGTGTATTAGTCTGTTTTCACACTTCTATAAAGAAAGACCCAAGGCTGGGTAATTAATAGAAAGAAGAGGTTTAATTGACTAACAATTCTGCATGGTTGGGAGACTTACAATCATGGCAGAAGGCGAAGGAGAAGCAAGGACCTTCTTCACATGGCAGCAGGAGAGAGAAGTTCGAGCAGGGAAATGCCAGACACTTATAAAATCATCAGATCTCATGAGAACTTACTCACTATCAGCAGAACAGTATAAAGAAGCCACCCCTATAACCCAATCATCTCCCTCCCTCTACCCTTGGGGATTAGAGGTCCTTTCCTTGACACACGGGGATTACAATTTGAGATGAGATTTGGGTGGGGACACACAAGAGCCAAACCATATTACCCCGCAATATAAAACATGCCAAGATTATTCAACAGTGAGAACAATAAAATCATCAAGAGTACATCAAGCCTAATAAATTATGCATATCAGGTGCAGCTGAAAATAAATTGGTAAAATTTATAAAATATTGTTTGCACTACAGTTTAATTTCCAAAGAAGATCTTTAATACCTTTCATTTTTTCCATTTGTTTATTCTTCGTGAAGAATTTTCTTTCTCTGGAAGCATTTACTCTCAGTATTTATTTAAGATAAAGTAGAATAAATACTGTAACTATATATGATGCACTACTCAAGACACCAATCTGTCTTGATTGCCTCCTGATGAATTCTTACGAAGCACTGTTAAAATATTTCTTATAAACATCAATTTGCAATATTTCATTGAAATGAATCTAAACAGGGTTTCCTGGTTTAATATGTTTTGAAATAATTTGCCTGTCTAATGTTACTCATTTGCTGTACTCTTTGAGGGCAGTATTAAACCTGAGTTACACTGTCATTTTTAGTCATGAAAAAATAAGTTATTGGGAAAAATAATATTCTTAAAAAGGAGAGACCTTTTTGCTTCTTATTTACACCAACTTTCAAACTTACATGAACAGTACAGATACAATAACACTGTAATATGATATTATGTTAGGTATCTAGACTTATAAGCCCCATGAAGGAAAGAATTCTGTTTTGCTGAGATCTGTATTCTCATTGCTCAAAATATTGCCTGGTAAATAATAGTCACTTAATAAATAATTATTGAATAAATGTCAGAAAATAAGTCTAATTGTCCTCTCCTTATGTAATTGAGAATGATTTTTATCCTACCTAATCCCATTGTGTATAGAATGGAGATTATATTTTTGACCAGATCATTGCTCAATTATGGAATAATTCTAAGGAAGTAAGTTCAAAACAGGAAAAGATACCAGTCACTTCCCCAATGGAAAAAAACCACCAACAACAACAAAACATACACCTGAAATACACACCTACACACCTGAAATACACACACATGCTTATTTAAAATATGCAAATGTACCTGAAATACACACACCTGAAACCCTGTGACTGTGTTGTGCCTAATACTTTATTAAACATATCCCTACGTATAGCCAGGTAAACAGATTATTATCTTCTTTTGTCCAGTTTTTCTATTGTGAAACTCTCCCAAAATGTCTTCAAAGGGGTCAGTTAAGTTGGTTTTAACTGCAAGTAACAAAATACACACTCAAAATGGCTTCAAAATGGTAATTATTTGACATTTTAAGAAGCCTAGAATTAAGGTAAGCCACCACGGAACTAGAAGTCACCAACAAAGTACAACAAGGTCAAACAGACCTTGATTCTCCTTGCTCTGATACCCAACCAAAGAGTAGCACTTACAGTCACAGCTCTGTCACCTCTTACACAAAGAGAAAGAAATCCATCTTTGAACCACAGCCATAAGTCCTTTCATTTAGCCTCACTGGACGATATTAAGTTTCTCACAGTTGCTTGGAAAATGTCACATAAAGATTAACTTAGGCTAATTGGGACTAATTCCCTTGAAGCTAGGAAGAGGGTAGCTTCCTCAGAACTACAGAGCTGTGTGAAGGAGGCTCAGATGCCAGAGGAAAATCTGGCTTCCATTGAAAAGAAGGAAGGTGTAATGAGTAAGTGGGTAAAATATACATCCAACAATAATCTCCTTCTCCTCCACCCCACACCATGATTGTCTCAATGTTTCTCACTCTTGAAGGTGTAAAATGGAAACTTAATGGTTCTCATTAAAAGCTGTCAATATCACATTCATTTCAAAGAAACTGAAGATTTAACTTCTCATGTCTAACCAATACAGTTAAATGTTAAGCTTTTAACATTTAAAGGAGATTTAATCTAAGTTGTCTTTAGTAACAGCATAGTTAACAAAAACTGGTCTTTTCAAAATTTAACTTTTGAGTTCAGGATACATGTGCAGGTTGGCTATATTGATAAACTTGTGTCATAGGGGTTTGTTGTACAGATTATTTCATCACCTAGATATTCAGCCTGGTACGCATTGGTTGTTTTTCCTGATCCTCTCCCTTCTCCCACCCTCCACCCTCTGATTGACCCAGTGTATGTTGTTCCCCTCTATGTGTTCATGTGTTCTCATCGTTTAGCACCCACTTCTAAGTGAGAACATGTGGTATTTGGTTTTCTGTTCCTGGGTTAGTTTTCTAGGCATAATGGCCTCTAGCTCCATCAATGTTCCTGCAAAGAACATGATCTCATTTTTTATGGCTGCATAGTATTCCACAGTGTATATGTACCACATTTCCTTCATCCAGTCTACCATTGATGGGGATTTAGGTTGATTCCATGTCTCTGCTATTGTGAATAGTGCTACAAGGAACATATGTGTGCATGTGTCTTGGTGATACAATGATTTATATTTTTTTGAGTGTATACCCAGTAATGGGGTTGCTGTGTGAAATGGTATTTCTGTTTAAAAAAAAAACAACTGGTCAATAAAAGCAATATGTTCAGAAAACTAAATTCCAGATTGATAACTGCCTATAATAATCATGAAATAAAATCCTTTTGGGATCTCTCCAGGATCCTCAAAAAACAGCACCCTTCTATGCTTTGGAATGATCAAGGTAAAAACATCTCCCAAACTAGCACCTACGGTTGAAAGAAAATAGATTCAAGTTCTAGTTTACTACATACTAGTTAGGGTGACTTTGGAAAAGTAATCTGATCTTTCTCTCCCTTCGTGCAATATAGGTTTATTACTAATTACAGCACAATTTTGTTATAAAGATTAAGCAATCTGCATATGAAAGGTCAATTTAAATGAAAGTAATTTATTCAATCAGTCGGAAATACTTAGAGAACTTTTTATATGCCAGGTATTGCATACACAGTGATGAAAATGACAAATACCATTTCATTATATCCAATATTCTTCATCATACCTCAACTTGGAGCTTAAAAAATAAACAATGGGTTTAAAAATACGGTTTTAAAAATATAAAAATGTTGTAATAAAGTGAAGAATGCTAGTTTGAAAAGTTTCTAACTCAATAGCCTAAGAGTAGTCTGAGCAAGTTTGAGAGAATAGGCCTTAATTTCATCAAATACCTAATGTCCATTTAGCACTGACTACCTCATTACTTGACTTGGGAAGTGAATGGTGACCATAGGAGTACTTGAAAAGAAATCATCCAGAAGAACTTCTAACACCACCACACAATCTTTATCTATAACATTACAGTGCTATCTGTAATGGCTAAAGTAGATTTGACAAAGATTAAAACTGAGCTTCTAGGTCAGAGTAAGTCCCATGAGGTTCCTATTCTGCACCAAAACTCAAATAAAACAAAATTTTGAACTATAAAAATTATAATATTTAAAATGCTAGTATATCTAATTTTAAGTGGTTTTATTCATGATAAAAAATGAATAAAAATTCCCAAAACTTATTCTATTAAATGATAGAACACATTATTTTACAAACTGAGATGTTTCCATTTAGGCTTTTTTTTTTTTTTTTTTTTGAGCCAGCTCAAAATAAGGAAACATTGGACTAATGCTTACGTGATCCATTTCTATTTTAGGTTTTCAGTTTAAAGTTGACCAAACACTTAACACACGGGATGGTAAATTGTTCAAGAAATGCTGTTTTATTTATACTTTGAACTCTGTTTTATATTTATCTCTCCATTGCCTCTAGAGATTCTTATACTGTTAGATCTTAATCTTCAGTTGACTGGTACCACAACCTTCCAAATGCTCCTAGATAGACACTTTCTTCTGCCACGTGTTAGTTTTCTAACCCACCTATTTACCAGTCTGCATTCTGTATTTATTTTAGCAAACTTGAAACTGAAAGTCACATTATCTTCTCATACCTTCCTGAGTTTAATTATTACAGAGAATTTTGTTTCCTTTTAATTTTATCTTCTGGACCCAGAATTTTATTTATTTCCTCTGGGATCAGATATTATGTACATTTATCTTGTGCTTTCTCACTGAATATTTTTAAAGTCTGTCCCAGGAAGGCAGTGGAAAATCAAAATTTCCCTGACAATTTGATGTAATAATACAATATTTTCAGTGACACTTATTTAAAAGATGAAAATAGAAAAACATTCTGAGTCCATTTAAAATTTAATAAAATAAATGGTGATATCAGCAAAGTGTTTCCCTTCCTCATTACCATTTACTTCTCCAAAATAAACAATATATCACAACTCTTCCATGGTACAATTTCGAGATTTCTAAAACATAAAGACCATGTTAATTACATTGAAAATAATTTATGAACCCACAGAAGTGACAGATTAAACATTTTTATTTAACATTAACTAGCATTATAATCTCAGGTAAATCACATTATTTGCCTCAAATACCATTTTTTATTCTGGAGGAGGAAAATTAGATCAACTTTAATGTCTTTCAATAGTCTATTTCTGTTTATAGAATTTGCTTGATGAAAGTAAAAATCAAAATCGTTCATGGTCTTGGCACAGGCCAGTAATTCATTTTCAAAATAATTTTCTTGATTGCTAATTATTTTTGACACACCATAAATATACCACATAATATAATGTATTAGAGTTCTTTATAAACTGCTTATTATTTAGCACTCTCTATACCTTAACAATAAAAGAGGGATTTATTTTCTTTTGAAAGCTTCATTGATATCATGTTCTATGCACATAGCTTTAGTGGAGAAAAACTCTTCAGATTAATCAATAAATATTAATAGTTTAATCTCAAAGTGTTATCTAGCAGTATAATAAAACAAGAGAAATGAAAAGTATTAATGAAAAAGTTCTCTATTTCTGATTTTCAGGATTTACAACATAATTCTACCAGAGAATTAGAGGGTTTTAGGTATGTATACATATAATATTAAAATATTTAAAATAATCTATTAGCAGAATAATTTTATATATTTTTGAGAATGGGGAGCATCAAGACCTCCATGTAACTTCACCAACAAGTATTTAAAAGGATAAGGCAATTTCATACAAAAAATACTGTAAATATGAGTTCTAACACTAGCCTTATCACATTAGCTTTTGTTCTCTGTGCCTCAGTTTCTTCGTCAATAATATGGGGAGGGTAATAGTACATTTTTTCGAATGCTTATTCTAATAATTAAAAAAAGCAAATACATGTAAAATACTTGAAAGTTGCCACAGAAAGAGTATCCAATAAATTGTTAGGTATATTTCTATATTGATAACATGGCATGATGCTAAACATGTGCTTGGCGTAACTTACAGTACCAGAAGATTTATAGAAATGTAAATTAAAAAATAACTTATTGGTAAATCCTCAATAAATTCATCATTTGGAATTATCTTCATTTTTTTCATACAAAAGAACAATTTTAGAAGTTTCACACTATCAAAAGAGATTATTTGATGACTCAGGATCTATTTTTGAGCTTCAATAACTATCTTGTCCTGAATTACAGCAGTATACTTGGAGCCTATGACTTGCATATGATGGCTTACTTCCTCACTAAATGACGCAAGGTGGCTTACTTTGTTTTCCAGATTGCCATTGCGTCACACGTGCTGTTTTATATGGAAGAGACTCTAAAATCACATAAGCATAATTCTTTTTAAAGAACGTGTTAAGAAGATAGAGGCTCTAAAAGTTGTATTTCTTTGAATTTCACAATCTGTACCTAATAAAAAAATTCATAATGGCTGTGTGGTGGACTTACTACATAACAATTATAGGTTGTGTTATATAAATATAAGTATGCTGTAAGTGGTCTATTATTTTGCATAGTTAAAGCCAGGGAAAAATAAGTCCAACAACTACTCTCTAAACTCAAAAACAATTAATTTTAATAAATCACCTACTCAAGGTCCTAATCCTTATCAGGATCCAAATGCATAATTGGATATAGAGGTGTCTAAAAGAGTTCTGGCTTGGATTTATTGTTTGCATAATGCTATCAAAAAGCAGAAACATGATGGGTGAAAGAGAATAAATGTCTGAACACTTTAGAAGATAGGTGTTTTGCCTAAGAATAAAAGTATTAGCGTGAGAAGATTATAAAAGTATTTTATAATATGCACAGGGCAATGAAAACGAGTGAGAAAATATACCAGTCATTCCCACTAGAGGGAAAATGTACAACACATCTGGAAATCAAGCTTGTTCCATCATTGCACTGTCTCATATCAAGAAAAATATTGAGGCCCGGTGCAGTGGCTCACGCCTCTAATCCCAGCACTTTGGGAGGCAGAGGTGGGCAGATCACGAGGTCAGGAGTTTCAGGCCAGCTTGGCCAATATGGTAAAAGTCCTTCTCTACTAAAGATAAAAAAATTAGCTGGGCGTGGTGGTGCATGCCTGTAATCCCAGTTACTTGGGAGGCTAAGGCAGGAGAATCACTTGAACCTGGGAGGCGGAGGTTGCAGTGAGCAGTGAGCAGTGAGCAGTGATCGCACCATTGCACTCCAGCCTAGGCAACAGGGCAAGACTCTGTCTCAAAAAAAAAAAAAAAAAAATTGATATAGTTTCTTGGTAAAAGCAAAGATAGCGCTTAAAAATTGTCAAATTAATTAGATGTAAGTTTCACTTGGTATATTTTAATTTATACACCCACATGGTCTAGCATACACTATTTTGCACAGTAGCTTATTAATAATATGTATGAAAAAATATGCATCTTTGTGTACAGGGTTGTCATTTAGTGCTTCCCGTTATTATTCTCCCACAAGAAGCCTGGGAAGGAGACAGAGTGGGATTCGAGTTTGATGACTGTGTCTTATATGAGTACATTTTTAACTTTATAAGAAACTCCCAAACTGTTTCCAGAAAAGGTTTTTGTAATTCCAACACTTTATTCCTTTTTTCCTTTCTTAGGGGATGACCTAAACATGCTATATTTAAAAGGATACCTATTTGTAAAATAAAACTATATTTTCTGAGAAAATACATAACATCTAAACTTAGTTCTGGAGAGAAAGAAAAACTCTTATTTACAGAAGAATTCAAGTTTCTTAATGTGAAAACATGTAATTATTAAATTACCATATTCAACCCTTAAAATAATAAATAATTCAGGCAGTCAGCATTGATAAATGCTAAGATGACTGGATGAAAGGCTTTTAAGTTTTATATACACACACACACACACACACACACACACACACACACATATATTTGAGTACAGACTCAAACTAACAGTCCACAGATTATTTATTACAGTGGGAAAATTTTTATTTTTTTAAATTGATATATCTGTACCATCTTAATCAAGTTAACAAACTTAGCTGGAGCAATAATGTGCTTTCTCATGTGATATCATGGGAGATTTATGGCTTATCTATAATACTTTACCCAAAAATGTTTAACCTGGATCTAATAATGAGAAAACAATCTAAGCAATGTAATGATGCTATGATATAACTAGATGGAACTGTTAAAAAGAATTCAATGTTATGAAAGACAAAGATGTTAGGGATTAAAGAGACATGACAACCCAATGTAATATGTGAATCTTGTTTCAAACCTGATTTTTAAAAATGGACTATGTAAATTAAGTATTATTGAATCAATGTTGAATTTCTTGGTTATCATAGTGATATTGTTGTATATGAGAAAGTCCTTGTTCTCAGGAATACATACTGAAATGCTTAGGGTAGAGGTGAAATTGTCTTGATGTCTGTAACTTACTTTCAAGTGGTTTGCAAAAACATTTACACACATTGAAAGCACAAGTATGGCTGAGCACGGTGGCTGACACCTGTAATCCTAGCAATCTGGGAGGCCGAGGAGGGTGGATCATTTGAGGTCAGGAGTCCAAGACCAGCCTTGCCAACATGGTGAAACCCTGTCTCTGCTAAAAATACAAAAATTAACTGGGAGTGGTGACACACACCTGTAATCCCAGCTACTCGGGAGGCTGAGGCAGAAGAATCGCCTGAACCCTGGAGGCGGACGTTGCCGTGAGCCAAGATCACGCTGCTGCACTCCAGCCTGCATGAAAGAGTTAGACCCCATCTCAATTAAATAAATGAATGAATAAATAAATAAAGTACAAGTGTGCTTTTGGGGGGAAAAAAAGGGGCATACTGTCAGTTTAGATGACAGGTGTATATTTCTTAAACTATTTATTTATTTATTTATTTATTTTTGAGATGGAGCCTTGCTCTGTCACCTAGGCTGGAGTGCAGTGGCGGGATCTCAGATGACTGCAACTTCCACGTCCCAGGTTCAAGCAACTCTCTTGTCTCAGCCTCCTGAGTAGCTGGGATTACAGGTGCCCACCACCATGCCCGACCAATTTTTGTATATTTATTAGAGGCAGGTTTCACCATGTTGGCCAGGCTGCTCTCAAACTCCTGACCTCAGGTGGTCCACCTACCTTGGCCTCCCAAAGTGCTGGGATTACAGGCATGAGCCACAGTACCAGGCCTTAAACTTTTTTTTTAAATACAAAATTTTATTTCAGAATACATAGTACAGAGTACAGAAAAGCTCTGAAGATGGTACAGAGTTCCCATATATCACACACCAGTTGCTCCTATTATTAACATATAACATTAGTATGGTACATTTGTCACAATTAATGAACCATCATTGATACATTATATTTTGGGTTATAATCCAATATTGGTTTATTTATCTATTTACTCAAGTTGCTCCAGATTTGCCACTGGGAGTTCTCTCAGTAGGCTCCTTTGTGCTTCTAATATATCCCCATCACTGTGGGTGTTTTATTTTGAGAAATTCTTTACTTTCTAGTACTAAAAAATGTTTAGGCTCATCTTGTATACATTCTACCCAGTCCTACCATCAGCCATTTCTCCAAATATCCTGGTTTCCTTTACTAGAGAAGTTTAGCAAAAATTAAGTTGTGGGTACTGGGTATGTTTGTTGCTCTTGAGGTGTCATTGCTTGCAGGCTAGTTGAGCTGAAAGAACAAGGAAATAAGTAGGTGTACACTAATTTCATACACACAATTAGATATATAATATTTATAAGCATCTGTCACTATATATACATATACATATATACATAATACATATACATACATATATCTACATATACACATATGTACACACATATATGTGTGTGTGTATGTGTGTATGTATGTGTGTGTGTATATATATATATATATATATATATATATATATATATATATATATAAACATGAGTTCATACTAATGTCTTTAACTCAAAACCTTTACCATGGAAATTATTCTAGTCTTCTCCCCTTTCTTGTCTGTAACTTCTCTTTCCAACTCTGTCATCCATCATAGATTTAATTCATTTTACAACTTCAGTATACATATAGGGTCGTCTCACAACTGTTGACCTCTATCTCCATAGGACACAACTTTATCAATAGAGCACAATGTTTATGTGCAGTTCCTTTTGCGTTTAATCTTACATACTTCACTCATTTCCAAAGATAATTAGATCAGCACCTCTTCCCTTAATATGGGTGTTTTGTTATTACCTCTTTGTCAGTTTAAAGTGTTTCAAAATTTTTTAAGTATGGAAAGAATAAAGTAAAACATATTTTGAAAAATGTATAAAATTATAAAACTGTGCAAACCCATCGCTAGGGGCTCTCCTAGTGTCTCTGAAGAAAGCATGCAAAAGAGACTCTGAATCTTAAGCTTTATTAGCTCCTTAGTATATTTGTGGTAACTTAATGAGGAAAAACTATAATGACAGTGAAACTACATATCGTATAAGGATGCAGAATAAGGTGCTCTGCAAGAATTAACTTTAAAAACACCAATAACTGTCTTTTTACTCTTTTTTATATGATAAAAGATACAAGGTCATTCAAAAGTAAGAATCCCAAGATAAACTTGAAGAAAGTGCTGAAAGCACTAAATAGTTCATTTAAATAGAAGGAAATAATAAAATAAATTGATTACTAAGAAAACCAGCTGAGGTGAAAAAATACATTTACAAGTGCACTGTTCCACATAGTTTTATGTGATTTTTTTTTTCCCAGCAATGCTCAGTTATCCTGGATAAGTGTGTTGACGGCATAGCACACCATCGTGGATAAGAGTTCAGGTCTAGACCCAGATGGTTTGACTCTCGGTTTCACCATTAACTAAAAGAGTAACTTTAAATAAATTACTGAAATATATTATGTCTAAGTTTTTATTTGACCACAGGGATAATAAAGCAGTTGGCATGATGCCTGGGACATAGTTATTGCTCAAAAAAGTTAGCAATAATTATCATAATTATCCAGGATTCAAGATTTGTGAGCCAAGTACAGTAGAAGGGCAAATAGGTATTATATATATGCATATAGTCTGGCTCCGAAAATAATGTTTTGCTGCATTGGTCTTCTGTTCTCCAGGAGTGGTGTTCTTTTTTTGGAAGTTGGTCAGGAAAGATCTCCCAAATGTCAACTTGTAGCATTTCAACATCAGGAAGTTTAGATTGTCCTAACTTACAGATTTTTGACATGACAACTGAAAACTTCTACTTTGTAGTCTGTATCAAATGACTTTACACACTTTTCACTTTACTTTGAAAAAGAAAAACAGGTATTTAGCATCATATTATTAAAATTTACACTGGAACTGGCAATCCAAGAGAAAGATCACTAAGGGTACAGAGGATAAAACTATGTTTACAGACTTAAGAACCCAGTTCACACATGTCAGCCATTCTGCAGGAGTTTTAACTTACAGAACATTCTATCTATATCAGCCTAAAGCAGCCCGGACTATCAAAATCTTAAAATCAGGTTATTCATTTTACTTGATGACACCTTTTCTTCCACTTACTGAAAATAAAAGATACATTTTTGAGCAAGGTTTCTCAACTACTGACATTTCAGGACAGGTAATTTTTGTTGTGGTGGTTACTCTGCACATTACAGGATATTTAGCAGCATCCCTGGCATCCACTCACTGGCATCAGAATCCTTCCCCTGTTGTGACAAGCAAAATAGTCTTTACGCATGGCCAAATGCCCCCTGGGAGTAATATTATCCAGGATGAAAACCAATACTTTAGATGAACGGTATTTATTGAATTTAAAAAGGAGAACCATTGGTAATACAGCAAACAAGAAAATCTTAATTTAAAAAAAAAAATATTTTTCCCCTAGGAGTTAACTACATTTTATTCCAAAATACAGTCTTCAGTAGCACTGAGGAAAAAAGAAAAATATATTTCCCTTAAAAATTACATCCTTACAAGTGGAGAACTGAACAAGGTAATCTCTTTCAGAACTGATGCTTTTCTTGTTTCTTTAAAGACATCTGCCCTTATGGCAGTGACACAATTTAAAATCCAATCCAAATCTGGCCCACATGTTTTGCCTGCAGGACATGCTTTTTTGCTATCATATACTTTGTCAGGTGCCACAACCATAACACTCACAGAATGACAAAAGGTATGAAAGTAACAGTGTGTGTACTCAGATCATTTTTTGCAGAAACACTTTTCCATTTGGTAAGCTTTGCATCAGTTTACCTCTGTGTCTGAAGCTAAAAGGAAGCCACACAGTGGCCTAACTACAGGGCTCAGTGTTACCTGTTTGAGCACAATGCAAGTTGTTCTAGAAATACAATACATACAATATATGCTCTAGAAATACAATATAATATATATATACACACACTACATATATATATCTATATATCATATCTATGTATGTATGTATCTATCTATCTATGGGAATATTTGTTGTGAAAATGTTAATGTTTTCCAGACAGTAAACACTGAGTTTCTATATGCTTCTATAATGGTCAGTGAACTTCTTGATAGTGACTGACATGGTGCAGTTATATGTGCTCATGGTTCAATTTCAAATTTACAATGCAAGTATTATTCCTATACAGCAGATACCCTAAGATTCAGTAACCTCAACATAGAAATCTAAAATCAAAATGATCACACTGCTAGTCAGGCTTGTAAGCCAATTACAGACACATGATGTGTTAAGATGCCCACCCTCAAAGATTATTATTTTACGTGACACTTTTACTCTGAAGTGTAAAGAAAAAGCACAGTATTCTGTAGACTCAAACATAATACATCATACCTATACAAAAAAAAAAAAAACTCATTATACTAAGAACAAAGGTAAATAACCGCTAGAAAACAGAATTGCTGTAATAAGGAACTACTAGGAAAAGCATGGGTTTCAGTCACATCCTGAGGGTTCAAAAACCAATTCTCAGTTTATAATCATTTGGGGCTTCATCTACGAAGTGAAGATGTCATCACCAACACTGCAGAGCTGCTGAGAGGATGGGTTAGGTGGTATGCCAAAAGCCAAGCTGAGAGCCTGACATAGTAGATATTCACTAAATGGTGGCTGTGAATCTTTAACAGATTAAGGAAGTATCCTATACACAGTGTACTAAAAATCTATTAGATTTTAATGTCTTTTTTTGAATTTTCTAGAGTATATCAAGTATTATTTTCCTCTTTAATCAATTAGTGTGATAAATTCTATGAATCGTATTTCTAATGTTGAGTCATTCTGTCAGTCTTAGAACAAAACAAAAACAAAACAAAACATTGCCTGCTCCTGTCATCTGCTACTTTAAAAAAGATTCCTGAGTTTGCCAACAGTTTATGTAGGGTTTTTGTATCTAAACGTACACGTGAAACTATTATATTTTTGCTTTGTTTGCTTTATCAGTTTGTGTTAGGTTTTGCTATCATAAATAAAACCTGAGATATTTCTGTATTTTTCTATACTTAAAAAAGTATTTATATATCATAAATATCATAAGTTCCATGAAAATTTGATGGAACTTGCCTGTTTTTAAATGACTCTTCCCACTGTTAAATGATTATTCTTTTTAAAAAGGATTTAAAGGAAGTTTAAATTCATCTGCCCGTGCTCCTAGTTCTGCTTTAAAAAACAAAGAGAATAGAGAGAAGTGAGAGAAGAGTAACAAGTGTCAACATTATGACATAATAAAGAAAGCACATGGCTATTGTCAAGTATTAATTAAAATAATATCTTGAGAATAAATTAAGGACAATTGGCTAGATCTTTGGAGAAGCATAGCTCAGATATTTACACAATTTTTTTTTCATTTTTCAACATCTTCTTTTTAGGCAGGTGAATTGAGTCACCATAGTACCAATCCAGGGTCCCATTGTAGGCTTATAAATAGAAATAGATTAAGCAATAGATTTAATCTGTTTCAATAAATCTTTATCACAGATCTCCGAAGTCAGCCTTTTTGTATCTACTGTCAGGTCTTTAGAATGTCACCTCTAAGGAACAGAGCAGTTTACATTTGGCCGGCCATGTTTTCACATTGTATCTGCAGACGTTTGTGATTTTGAATAAAATAATGGGCAGGACCAGCCAAATAAACATCTGGACTTCACAACCTCAGGGCTGTGGTACCCTGGGCCACGCAGCAGCAAGTGCAAACCTTGCTCACACCAAGAAGGTAAAGGTGACTTTCTGCTGAGGAGGAGAATATAATATTTTACAAGTTCTACAGCATATTCCCAAGATCCCTATATACTAGAAAACTGAAAACAGACCCAACATTCTCATGCGACTAGAAGGGTTTTTGGAGACTCATTACTGAATACTTGAACACAACATGGAAAGTGCAAATCAAAAATGTTCTTCATCATGTTAATGCTTCCTAGAAGATTTGCTGCATTCTCTTTGTTTCTGCTATTCTCCCTGTTACTTTTCAACATATTTTTGGTTGTCTTTCCAGTATTTTAATCTCATAAATGTCATCTCTGTTGCCCAGAGACATTAAAAAGAAAATTTTAATTGAATGTTTTAACCCTACGTAGTCCATGCAAAGAAAATCCTGGCTTCACTACTCAAAAAAAACCTTTGTGGATTATGTGGCTAATTCAAAACAGTGGCTGAAATCCTTTGAAAACCTGACATCAAATAATTATGTTTGATTTTCTTTCTGTTTCTACTTCAAGCAATTTTAGTTGGCCATAAAGTTCAGGCCTAAATAAATGCAATTATTGAAATAACTATTGGCCAGGATCATCCCAAACAATGTTTATTTATATCTTTAAAAGATTCAATATATTTTAATATAAAATAGGATAAATTATGTGCCAATGCCAGTCTGTTGAAGACAGTTTATAGGAATATGAGTGTCATACAATTTACAGACACATCATATATGAACTTATGTGGCAAATAATAATATGTTCTAATTGAAGATTAGATAAATAGAAATAGATTTAGAAACAGATTTAATCTGTTTCAATAAATCTTTATTACAGATCTCTGAAGTCAGCCTTTTTGGATCTTCTCTCACGTCTTTAGAATGTCATCTCTAGGGAATAGAGCAGTTTGCATTTGCCATTCTATGTTTTCATATTGTATCTGCAGAGGTTTGTGACTTTGAATACAAGAATGGGCAGGGCCAGTCAAATAAACATCTGGACCTCACAACCTCAGGGCTGTGGTACCCTGGGCCATGCAGCAGGAACTGCAAACCTTGCTCACACCAAGAAAGTAAAGGTGACTTTCTGCTGAGGAGAATATAGTATTTTATGAGTTCTACAGCATAGAAACATTAATTCAATCAATTTTATATATATATATATATATATATATATATATATAATCAATGTTAAAGCTACTCAGATAAGCTAGTGCTAACCTTGTTTTATCTGTAAAAGAGTGCACAAAGAAGAGGAATGTATATTAAAATAGGATGTTCTTATCATAGTGAAGTATCTACAAAAGAGGATACAGGCAAGTTCTTTTTAAAGTAGTCAGCAAATTATATAGGCTAGCTGGACTTACATAATTTTGTATGTCACAAAACATATTTTCTCTGCCAACATATATCTGAGATACTCTATAAGAAAAACATTCACTTCTCCTTTCTTTTCTACTGCTAATAGTTCATTTTTCACATGTGGTTTCTTAGATTTACTTATCATTTAGACAGGGAGGCTATATAACCCAATTCTGTTCTTGTTCTTTGCAGTGTACAGCTCACAAACTTTAAATATCCTGCTTTGCAAAATAAAAGAAATAAGAACCTTTCAGTGCATAGTACATAGGACATTTAATCAAAGTCAACTTTAGGAAGAAAGACATAGAGCCATTTTCAAATGCTGACAAAGTAGGAATAGAAAAATCAACCCCCATGTATCTTTAATGAAGCTTTCAGGGAAATATATCTATACATATTTTAGTGATTTCTGATATTAAGATATTTTTTCCTAATTTGGTAAGTCAAGATATTACTCAGCTGTGAGTAATGATTTCAATTTCAATGAAATAAGCCAATTATATATAAATATAATTTTTTAAAAGAAACTAAAATTTAGCAAGTAAATCATAAAAAGTAGTAACATTGAATAATTACCTGACAGCAAATTACTTTAAGTATTATTTATAAAACATGTTGACTGCCAAATCCTAGGCCAAAAGATATGTTTGAAAGAATTTTATCAACAATTCATTATCAAGATCAAGGCTATTTGTTCAATTTCCAAACATATTCACACAAACTGTCTCCTGGGAGAGAAGGGAAGCAGATTTCCTCTTAAAGTATAGAGAAATAGTAACTCTTTGGTCTCACACCTGTGGATACCAGCAGTATTAAAGTTAACATTTCTGGGCATTTAAAAATCTACCTACTAGGGCCACAACTCTAGTATAAAGTTTAAGTTCTATTTCCAGAGATATTATAATACAAATTATTAGGATGGTGCAAACATAATTGTGTTTTTTGCCATTAAAAGTAAATAACATGAGATATAGTGTAAGCATATATTCTTTTTGGTGCTAGGTTGATGCAAAAGTAAGTGTGGTGTTTGCCATTGCTCCGCATTACTAGTGCGCCAGCCTAGCACCAAAGAGAGTATATACTTATACTGTATCTCATATTATTTAACACAAACAAGAAATTTCTAGCTTTTGAAGAGAAAGAGGAGATTTTTCAGAATTGTACTAAAGTAACAATGGTATATCTTAAATAGAGAAACCAACTACACTAAATATTTCACAAATCTCTTATATCAAAGTTATTTAAAATGTAGGCTTTTGAGGCCCAGCAAACTTGGATTCCAGACCTTCCTGCTCCACTTACTCACTGTGTTGTCTTAGGTTCTCTAAGCATCACATCTTTCATTTGTAAAAGAGAGCAAATGATGGCTCCTACTTCCCGGAGCAATCATCGCTATGAAGAGATAAAACCTATAAGCCTTTTGCACAATAACAATTAAATTTCAATTAATTCTACCAATAATTGTAAAAGATTAGAATACCAAGGAACTAATACTTTCACTCCTCATGTCAAAGAAAAGGCCATAGGTAGGTATTTTCTATTCAAGGAACTCCCCAGAGAATATCTCCATTTTTTAAAATCCATAAAGTTTCAGTAGAGATTAAAAAGAGTTTTCCCAGAATGCTATGACTTTTTCTTTATATTTCCTTAAATGGAATAGTAGTCGAAAACAAGTAGAGCATTTCAAATCTCAGCCTCTAAATTATTTTTAGATAAGTTTGCTAAACAGGAAATGTTACCCATAAATTAATAATTATCAGTTATTAGCCTAGAGTTGTTAGCTCCACTTTACACCTAGTTGTAGTCACAAGATAAATTTAATTAAATTAGCATAAATTAAGGTTGTGAGTATTCTAGCTTTCAATACCTCTATAATTCCAAAAATAAAAATAAAAGGAAAGAAAGAGACAGTTACTAACACAAGAGAATGGGTAATTAAATGAATTAGGACAATAAAGGACAGCTTGTGGTATTTTAAAAAAAAAAAACTGGGGCCCAGCAAAACATCTAATCCAGTTTCAATATTATTTTACTTTTATTATTTTTTATTTTTTCATTTTTTTTAACAGAGTCTTGCTCTGTCACCCAGGCTGATGTACAGTGGTGCAATCTCAGCTCACTGCAACCTCTACCTCCTGGGTTCAAGCGATTCTCCCACCTCAGCCTCCCGAGTAACTGGGATTACAGGTACGCACCACCACGTCCAGCTAATTTTTAAATTTTTAGTAGAGACGGGGTTTCACCACGTTGGCCAGGCTGGTCTCGAACTCCTGAACTCAAGTAATCTCTTGCCTCAGCCTCCCAAAGTGCTGGGATTACAGTCATGAGTCACCTTGAATTATTGAAGATATTAGTGTCTTCAATATTAATGAGGGCATTGTATCTTCATCTTCAAAAGACTCATGGGGAGCTCAATTGAATTGTCTGATTTTACTTTGAGGAAAACTCTAAATGGCAAAAGGTATATTACAAAATAATTACAAAGTAAACATGCTGTACCATTGCCACTGCAAACACAGCAAGACAACTACAGGGTAAGCGAAGTCAACAAACATAGATAGTAAAAACTGTGCTCGAAAGACAATGAGGGCATTTAAATTTAAGAACCTGGGATAGAGAGAGAAGAGAAACAAAACTAGCATAGATGCTATCATATTAAATGTAATATTTTGGATAAATAATTCTTTACATTTTGACCATGTACATTCAGGAAAATGTCTGTGGAAAAGTAATGAGGCTAATCAATTTTTTTACAACTCAGTGCTGAAGAATCTGTTTCAAAAGATGCTTTGAAGATGTCCATTCAGTCATTTCTATATAAATTCTTTGAAGTAATTTATAGGTCAAATGTGTAAAAATTCTCAGTAAAGCTGCTCCACTATTGCTTAAATGCCATAATTATGGATATAGGTACATGTCATTTCACCGTATCTATAGTCACACTGATTAAAAGTACAGAAAATCAATAAGTCCTTAATGAATATCTCACCCTATAAGCTTCCCTCAGTAGATTTTGTAAAGTATAGTATAAGGCACACTTTACAAAATAATAAGAGAATATTTTAACCTAAAAGTTATTTTCAAATATCAGTTTCCAAGGAAAATTATTGAACACTAAAGGATATTCATCATAAATCACATATATTAATGTACCAAAATCTTGTCTAGATAATTATATAGTTAAAGCCTACTTTAATTTTTCAAAAGAAAATATACAATATTGGGCAAACATTAATTTTCTCTTCCCTTAACTCATAAATATTAAGTAACTTAGGAAATATATAAAATACAACAAAAAAACTAACTTTCACATTTACCTCCTATAGTTTGTGGAATGCAGGCGGCCATTTAACTGTAATTGAAAACCGCCTGCTTGCTGTCCATATGAAAACCAATGCATGACTTGTGTTCTATTTCTCTATAAAAGCACTCTTTTCTATGTGGAATTATTCAGAAAAGTAGCTTTCATATTTAGGAAAAGAACATGCTCTTCCACTCTCAGCAAATGATTAAAGTCATGATGAACACTGCCATAAAAAACCTTGCTTTAAATAACTAATATAAATTTATATAATTAAAGTTCACATTTTAAAAGGCAGCTTCCTAGGATGTTCTGAAGATCCACTAAGGCACCAATTTTATCCCCATGTTGTCTCTTAATTATCTTCTTTATTAACTGTAGCACTCTGTTCTTGCATTGAGTACTAGAATTAAATTACAGAAAAATACTTTCGTATGCTTTAAGATGATAAATGGGAACAGTTCTAGGGGCAATAGTCTGCTATCCAGAAAACTTTCAAAAGTCAGTCCTAAGGAATACAAAGTGCACGCTGACTCTCCTGACAAATGAAGAAAAGTTCACTTATAAAAGAGGACAAACGATCAGCTATTGCTAATGAAATACTGTAATTATAAATTATTGTTTAGACATGCTTATCCACATACATAACATTATCTCTTGATATTTCCTGTAAATAATACCATAAAATGACAAACTTTAGTACACAACTCGCTTTGACTGATCTAAGTTAAAGTGTAATTAGACAAGTGTCTTGTAATTCTAATAAAACTGTTTCTATCCATTTGTTTTGTGTACTTAAATAGTGAACTTCTATGAGGAATTCTATAATGTAATTTAGGAAACATTTCAGATATAGAAAATTAGAGCTCATATCAAAAGAAAGGCAGGAAGTAAAGAAGGAAGGAAGAAGGGAGGGAGGGAGGAAGGCAGGAAGGCAGGAAGGCAGGAAAAGGGAGAGCCCTTGCTTTTAGCAAAATGTTGAAGGCTGGCTGGTATATGTGGAGGGAGTGCTGTAGTTGGAAAACCAACATTTTTTTAATCTTCTTAGTAAAGACTAGACAAGATATGAATTATCAATGGATGCTAAATCTAGGAGAAACTAGATATTTTCACGGTATTGAAGCGTCTCATCACAGACTCACAAGTTGTAAGGGAGAAAAAAATATTAATTACAAAAGAAATAAGGAAGGTTATTTCTATTTAAAAAGGGGTGATAAAATGTATTCTTCAAAAATATCAGTCATCAAATACAAAGACAAGTTATAGAAAATGTTTTAGATAAAGGAGGCTAAAGAGACTCCTCAATAGATCATTTGGTCCCAAGCTGGATGCTGTACTGAAGGAAGAAATACTACAAAGAATATTACTGTGTTAATGATACAATCTTATTAAGATTGGTAAAGTATTGCATCAAAGTTAAATCATTGAGGTTGATAACTAAACTGTAGCTATGTAAGTGAATATCTCTACTTTTAGATAATACACACTGACCTACTTACGGGCAAAGAATCATGATGTATATAACTTATAAGTTATATTGAATATCTTGAATATTCTTGAATATAACTATAAGTTATATTCAGAAAAGTAGCTTTCATATTTAGGAAAAGAACATGCTCTTCCACTCTCAGCAAATGATTAAAGTCATGATGAACACTGCCATAAAAATATTGAATATATTGAATAACTTGAAGATAAGTTATATCTTCAAATGGCTAATTAAAAAACCACAAATATGTAAAAATATGTAAATTTGGGTAAAGGGTATATTGGTGTTTATGAACTATTTTTATTCTTGCAATTTCCATCTAAGTTTGCAATTATTTTAGAATAAAATATTTGAATGTGGAACAGAGAGGTTAACAACTGGATCCATATCACATAGACTGTAAATGGCAGAGGTGAGATTAAACCTAAGCAGTCCAAATCCAAAGTCCCTACACTTACAACAATTCTGTTTTGTTAAATAATAGAATATTAGCTTGTTATACATAGCAAAGGAATCTGAGGAATTTCAATAAATAATTGAAGTAGTACAATTATCCCCAAAGATAGGTTAGAGGATGCCTACTTAATAACAATTGCAGGTATTAAAACTCTTGCCTGCATATATACCTAACACTACATTTGATGTAATCACACAATATGGAAATAATTTTGAAAATCAACCAAAAATAGGTTGTTTCCTGCAGATATGCAAAGCCTCACATTTTTACTTAAAATTTGCTATTATTAAAAAATAGTAAATGTAGTATTAAAGATAAAGCATAAATAATATTAAAAGTTGTGAGGATAATAAAAATCCTACTAAATGTTAAAATATTTAAAAATACAATTCCACAACCATTTATAATACCTCAAAGTGGGGCATTTGTGAACATGAATGAATAGCTTCCCTAGGAGGAGGAGAAGATTCTTGGCATAGCATTTCACATAATAATATTTATTGACTAAATTTATGAGGAGAGGTATAATAAAATTTTTAGAAATGTGTTCCTTCCTTCAGGTTTTGATATTTTTAATAGGCTTTGACAAAAAAATAAATATTCATTGCTTGATGATACCACTCAATATTATCAGTACTAGATTTACTCGAGAAGAACATTTCATGGTAGACTTGTTTGCAGCAATACTTCATACTTTTGGGGTCTTTATGCTTTCATTCTTATCAACATGCCAGCCAGCATCATATCACTGCTGGTCTTCATTCATCCGTTAAGATCAATTTTATCTTACCTATTTGAATAACACCTTTCCTGACTATTTCAGACTCAAATGTTTTCATGTGTTTAGCAATAAGTATCATTTTCTATTATGTCTTTTAATTATTACCTTGAACAGCTATTCAAATCTTATTATAGATATTGGATTTTTTTTACCAGTTCTATCATTTCCAACCAAACAGATTATGTACTCCTTGAGCTAAGGACTGTATCAGATTTCTTTTCATTAATCATAATGCCTACTAGCCTCTGGATGAGTCAGCTCAATACTTATGTACTGATTTTATTTTTACCTGTCTCAAAGTTTCACAGAGAAAGTTAAAATAACTTTCAATCTTTTATGACAGCACTTTTGATTATTTAAAAGAATAGAAAACAAATGGCACAAATGCCCTTCTTTTTCTCTGCTCAAAATATTCTATTTCTAAAACTCCTATTCAAATGAAGATATTTTCACAGAATTTTCCAGTTTCTCTTCTTCTTCAGGTCAGTCTATTGATAATTTGAATCTGAATCATAGATTTGTAAAATCTTAAGTAGAATATTAAGTAAAACCCACAAAATAGAAACTGCATGTAAATTATGATCATAACTATAAAAAACCCAAGTTATACTATAGAGCAACTGAAGCAACTAGAATGGCATATATGAAGATATGATCAGTAATAGCCTCAGAGTGTAACACTGGGTGGCTTTTCTCTTGTTCCATGGATCACCTACCCCAGAGATTTCTATAAACAGCATATACAACATTATATTCTTTACAAAAAACAGAGCAGGCTTTATAATTATTGTTTGTTTAACCTATCCCAAATGTCATTATGAGATTTTTGAAGCCAGTGAGTATCTTTTATTTCTGCAACATCATTTCCAGGAATGTTTGGTATACAGTAATGCTATCAAGTATCAAGATTGTCTTACATTTTAATCAAGGGAGGTTTTTTGCTTTGTATATGTTTATATATGAATTACACATAATTTATCCATATTCGCACAAAATTACAGACTGTCCTCTATATGGTCCTCCCCTGAAAAGGGCTAGTTGAGCCAAAGCTGGGTCAATGAGACCCATCCCTAGGGTTTTTGTATTTAGGATCAGAAAATTCATTAGGGCAATCTCTCTCTGTCTCTATTCCCCCTGCAACCCTGCCTCCTCCTCTTTGGCCTTTTCTTCCGTCCCTCTATCTTAGCTAAAATGCAAGTTGTACAGTTTGAAAGCTGTTTGTTTGAAATCCAGGTTTCTTTTCCTCTAAAAAAAAATCTATGAATGAATAAAACTGACACACAGAAGAAGAAGGGGGAGGAAGAGGAAGAAGAAATTCCTATTATATTTGCAATATATTTGTAATGATTTTTACTGTAATAATTATTACAATAACAGCCTGTGTCCCTGGAGTCCATATTTCCATCTGACCCTGAGGCCCAAATGCATTCTCACCTTTCCTTAAATAATCTTAAATTACTTGAATGTTGAACTTACACTGCAATTAGCATTATTATTGCAAAATCATAAAATTTTGCTATTTCTGGTATAACAGTGGAGAATATTTTTTCTGCATTTACATAGCCCTGAGGACTGGATGTCAGAGTTCTTCTTTTATTTGAGGAATTATCCCATTAGCAGCATGGGGAATAACACAAGCAAGAATCCTAACTTTTAACAAAGACTGAAATGACTGATCCACAACATCACTGTTGACAGAAACTCATTCACATGGGAAGTAAAGGTGCAACAAGCAGTAAAGTAGGAACAGTGTTGAAAAAATAAATGTCAAAAAACAATTACATGATAACATTTGTTTTATAGTTTTGTTTCAGTTGCTGTTCCTGCATTTTATATGTCTATCACCTCAGAGCACAGAATACTTTATATTAAAGTGCTACAGAGTCCTGCCACTTTACTATGCTCAAGATAAAGGAGACATTTGTAACCTTGCTAAACTGTACCCACTATTTCATTCAACAAATATTTGAATCACTGATATATTCCAAGTACACTTCTAGGTACAGTGAACCACAAGGAGACAGGCGATAAGATATGCATAATTTAAGACATTTAAGTTAGTGACAAATGTTTTCAATAAAAGCAAATATGATTATGAGACAGAGGGGAGTGAGGAGGTTACTTGATTTATACCATCCACAGAAAACCACTCTGTGCTGAGGCAAGAATGATAAGATGGAATCAGTCATGCAAAGATCTGGGACTGATCTTTGAAAAGTAAGCAGATCTTTATCAGAAAAGTAAGCAGCTACTATAATGGCCCTAAGACAGGAGAAAGCCAGTATTTAGTCAAGCAAGAAAGGAAACCCACACTGCTGGCATAAAATGAGCAGTGGAATGAACGTGGTATGAAATCAGGTCATAAAATAGACAGCAGCCAGATGCGGGAGTAGAATAGGACACTGGATTTCATTCTAACTGCAACAAGCAGTTCGAGCTTGGAGAAGACTGGCAATATGCTCTAACTTCTGAAACTTCTGAAGGCAACTGAAGGAATGGATTACGGAGGGATTATAAAAGGATAAGAATAATACATCATGAAACAATTGTTCAACTAAATTGATAATGCATGTAAAGTATTAGTAAAGTACACAGCACATTGTATATCCAAAATAAATGTTAGTGATAAAAATATATTGCTGTTGTTTCTCCCATGAGTTCTTAAATATGTGCTGTGAGTCAAGACCATACCTGAGAGTTATGCTAAGATAAACTCTGCTCAAGATCATGCAAATGTAATCACTGTAGACAGTGGCACTATTTAATATGAGAAAAATAAACAGGCAGCTTTCAATTTACAAATAGATCATCTTCCCAAAGTCTCCTTAACATCCATCCTTGGAAATCCAGAACACATTTTCTCATAGAAACAAAAAATGTAGCTACTTTTTTAGGGTAGCCTGGAGAATTCTATCTGATCTATAATGTGTTACCAACACTAGTTTTGATTTTGGAGTCAGAAGTCCACATGACATATCAGAGGAAAATAACAACTTTTGTTATTTTGATTGGATGCTAAATAAGTGCCAACATTATTCTAAGCACTAATTAATTGAAGCTTGTTGTAATTTCATGAGGTAGATACTATTGCTATCTCCATCTTATGGATGTAACACTAAGAAACACAGAGGTGAACAACTAGCCCATGCACTAGCTGCAGAGCAGGGAGTCGAACTCTCACAGTTCAAAGGAAGTAACCATTTCTGTAAATACTATTAACAACCATGCAGTGCTGTATTTACCCTCATTCCTCATGCTTTAAAACACACACACACACACACACACACACACACACACACACACACACACACACAATGTAGAAATAGTTGTTGTTTGCCTGTGAGTCCTTACCAAACCCTTTTGGAATTTACTGTTATATCCTGGTACTCCATCTCAGAATACTAGGTATACTACTAGAGTACCCCAGGTAAAACCATCCTATACGCTTTTACATAAACTAAGTTGGTAAACTATATTGACACAAATTTTCTTACAAACTCAAAACAAGGCCAGTTGTGGTGGCTCACACCTGTAATCCCAGCACTTTGGGAGGCCGGGGTGGGCAGATAACTTGAGGTCAGGAGTTCCACACCAGCCTGGCCAACATGATGAAACCCTGTCTTTACTAAAAAAAAAATAAAAATTAGCCAGGCAAAGTGATGAGCACCTATAATCTCAGCTACTCAGGAGGCTGAGACTGGAGAATCGCTTGAACCTGGGAGGCAGAGGTTGCAGTGAGCCAAGATCACACCACTGCACTCCAACCTAGGGGACAGAGTGAGACTCCAACTCCGAAAGAAAAAAAAACCCTCAAAACAATAATCTTCATCTCAGCATTAGGGAAATATTTTAGATTTTGAGTCCCAGCTACAGGGTCCACCTCTGCCCCGACATTAGATTCCAAGCTGAATAAACCCAGGGAACCTTGTAAACTGTTAGCATTTTTCCCAGCTTCTTACTTTGATATAGTTTGGCTGTGTCCCCACCCAAATCTGATCTTGAATTGTAGCTCTCACAATTCCCACGTGTTGTTGTGGGAGGGACCCAGTAGGAGGTAATTAAATCATGGGGGGTGAGTCTTTCCCTTGCTATTCTCATGATAGTGAATAAGTCTCACTATCTGATGGTTTTATAAGGGGGAGCTTCCCTGCACAAACTCTCTTCTCTTGTCTGCCGCCACATGAGACGTGCATTTCACCTTCTACCATGATTGTGAGACTTCCCCAGACACGTGGAACTGAGTCCATTAAACCTCTCTTGTAAATTGCCCAGTCTTGGGTATGCCTTTATCAGCAACATGAAAACGGACTAATACATACTTGTATCTACTTTAGAAGAATTTAAATTATTCCTCTCAAAAACTGCCAGAGGGGCAGCATTGTTACTCCAGTAGTCAGGGGAAGGAGATTGCAGTAGTTATTTCTGTAAATGCAGGTTACACTGAAGAGAAACTATATGGAATATGGGAACAGAAACTCTTGGATCCATATAAACCGTGTGACTCTGAGCTAGTTACCTATATTCCTTAATCCTGTCTCCCCATATAGGGTTAAACCAGTGTGTGCACCATTAGTTGGTTGTGCAGATGCTTAACAAGGTAGTGGTAGAGGAAAACCAGCCTCGGCTATCTCACTAAGCACATCCTATGCCATGTGCTTTATTAAGGCTTCATACAGATCAATCCTCAAACTGCTAAACATATTAGGTCAAATGTAATTTCCATTTCACAAAAGAGGAAACTGAGGTTTGCAGAATGATAAGAACTTTTTCCAAGGTAAATTAAGGTGTAAGTATTAATACTGGGATTTGAACATTGGCAATGTAGATCTTCTGTCCCAATCTTAATCACTGAAGTGCAGCATTCTTCTAGACATATAGTTTGCAATAAAATGCACTGTTATGATTTTTGTTGTCATCCCTATCATCAACTCTATTAGTGGGTTGTTAAATGGATTTAAGGAAATGTAAAACACTGCAATATTGACTAGCACATAACCAGTGCTATACACACTGATTCCTTCTTTTGTATAAGGTTGCATATTATCTGTTTGGCTCTATTAAAACTATCAAACTCAAAAATATTTGAAATAAATAACAGAGCAGATTATTCTTTATAGCTGCATGAAGCAATTAAGCCTTCTACAACAGGCATTCATTTATTGCTAATTTTTACTTTCCCTCGAATAACTCATATTTATTTTCAAAAGTTACTGTGAATATTAAGTTAGTGCCTGAAAGTCTTCAAGCAGTTTGTTTTCCTCTGATATCTGGGCAGAGGTGGCCCCTGTAGCTGGGGGCTATTTCCCCTGCTCAATGAGAAAAGTCCATATTTTGCTTGCTTATAAGTTGCACCACTACCTTCAGCCACATATTTCCCTCTTTTCCTGACCTACTTTAAGAGTTTTAAACCTATCACTCAACCTGCTTCCCAATAAGATTTTATTTGTGAAACGCTAAAACTATGGAGCATGTACCCTGCTTTTTTTCCCCAGAAGCATAAACTCACATCCATCTTCTGGTCTTTACCCAATTACAGAAAATTTTTTCTCCTTTTGCTCTCTACGACGACCCAGCTTCTGTTCAAGCCTGAAGCATGTTTAACTAGTTACCAATAGAAATTGAGTATCCCTAATCCAAAAATCCAAAATCTGAAATGCTCCAGAATCTGAAGCTTTTTGAGTGCCGACATGATGCCACAGACCAGAATACCTATGTTAGCAGTTAAACAGCAGTGGCACAAACAACAGCAGGTTTTCAGTTTCCATCTATAATGCTGTGTTTTGATTAAAGGGTTACTGTGCACTTACTTTACTGTTCTAGGTGAGAAGAAACATGAGATGCAGTTGGGGGACCAGGAAGTGGATCCCTGAAGGATAAAGACGCACTCTGCTAGATGGGTTTTTTAAACGTTTCCTCCAGTCTATAGTAACACAGTGTCATAGATAGACTGAAAGCCTGGCACTGCTTGTTGTTGCCGTGGTTTAATGGTTAATACGGATATTCTGGTGATGCTACTGTGTTGCTTAGTTACCCTGAACAGATGAATGACCTTTTTCATTGTATTAATGGTATGTCATACTTCTTACTGTTAAGTACTTACGTATGAACAGGTGTAAGAAAATGGCTGAGGATCACGGGCATGTAAATTTAGAGTCAGAAATGACAGTGATGCCAGACAATCATACATTGTCCACAAGTGTGGCTGACAGAGTGACACCTTTGCTTTCTGATGTTCAATGTACATAAACTTTGTCTCATTCATAAAATTATTAAAACATATAAAATAACATTCAGGCTATGTGTATAAGGTACATATTAAATATAAATGAATTTCATGATTAGAGTTGAGTTTTAGCCCTAAGATATCCCATTATGTATATATAAATATTCCAAAATCTGAAGAAAAAATCAGAAATCCAAAACTCTTCTATATTTTAGATACGGGATACTCAACCTGTACATGAAAATAAGTAATGTTCCTATTGGTGACCCTTGGGAGGCAGTTCAAGCTCTGCACATGTCCCCATCAGGGTGACCTCTCAGGCATGACAGCATTCTGGAGCATACCCAGTGATGGTACAGAAATAGACCTCAGGTGCAATGACTTCACTTCAAAGAGAAGAAAATTAGGAAAAGGGAAATTGTTCTTCTCCCAAGTTTTCACTTACCAAGGCACAGCCCAGGAGAGAAACCAGTCTTGTGCTCTAATAGATAAGGAAGCAAAAGAGGATGTATTTCAAAAGACAAAGAATTATGTCTATTAGAGGCAACAGGCCAGAATAGCAAGAGTTTGTTTTTAATAATATTTTTCTGATTCTAAATGAAATGTATGGCCATTGTAAGAAAACTGGAAATTACCAAAACTATAATGAAAATAATCATGGATAATTTCAGAATTCAGAACTTTAGGTATATACATTCCAATATTTATGTCAGGATCATATTGCATATATAATTTTTGTTCTATGATTTTTCTTATCATTTAGTCCTTAAATTTTCTTCAAATACTATATTTTCCTTCTATATAGTATTTCATGCAAAGGTACATCACATGACAACTGACTGGGAATTCAGTTTTATAACTTTTTTTTTAATCACTCCATTGCCTCATTCCATCATTCAATTTATAATTTCATTATTCATTACTTCATTATATATTACTATGATGAATAAACACCCTTGTACATAAATAATAGTAGTTTCTCAATGTTTTATTTTGTTAATATAGTCAGGAAAATAGAGGAGAATGGTTTAGATTCACTGAAATAAAAATCATATGACAGAAAACATTTCTCGATTGAAAATAATAAATCTTGCTCTGATCACCTGATTAAATAATCAGCTTCATATTTTATGATAATTTTTGTGATAGTAAATTCTGGACCACAGAAAGGTAAAAGCCACTCCAAGGCAATTTTTTACCCACCATATTCATTGCCACTTAGCCCTAAAAATATTATTATTTGCATCAATAAAGCACAAATAAAAAGTTTTAATCAGAATTAGTTTTTAAAAATGTGTTTTTAACTGTACTCTGATATGGAAAATATGTTCAAATACATTGTACAGTTCTATAAGTCTAATTTTCAAGGCAGTTTTATGTGGTTAACATTATACAGGGTAGAATCTGTTACATGTAGGTGTGGCTATATGACGAGGATCTTCCACTGCTGTCAGGAAGGCCATGTAGTGCTATACATAGAACCTAGGCTTTGCTGCCAGTCAGAGCTGGGGTCCAAGCTGAGCTGGGACACTCCCTAGTTGCATGGACCTTGGCTCTGTCATCAATGAGAAGGTAATACTAATATTTATCTCAAAAAGCTTTGTTTGAGGCTCAAATGAAGTAATAAGCACCAGTTACCTGCCTTTTATAAGATCTTAAAGATTAATGTAGATTGTGCTTATCAATAAAAGGACAGATGAGTCTCAAATAAAGTATTAAGTGCCAGGTACCTTCCTTTTACAAAATCTTACAGATTAATGTAGATTGTGGTTCTTGATGGAAGGGTAGAATGACCTTTTGTCAATATAATTCTTAGTTCTATTACCAAAATCTGATTGTCAGAGAGGTCCAAGCTAAGCTGTGTGTTTAGACTAAATGGAACACAGTGGCAGCCACCCATGGATTTAACAATTCCACACTATTTCCAAGTAGTTACCAACAAGCCTTTGATCTCCAGTTCTCTTTTGTCCAAGAAAAAGCCATCTTAGATACAGATCTGATCTCTATAATGAACTGGTATTCAGAATTTTTTTTAAAAAAAGAAAACTTCATTAATCTTGCTTTTTTACCTGGAATTCCTGGTGATCTCTTTCAAGAACTATATTTGTAGATAAATATATCTAACTCCGAAGCTACATTTTACAGGAAAATCACTTTAGGAAGAGTCTCAATCTCCCTGTAGCAAGTTTAACCAAAGCTGATTGTGGGGAATTTTAGGTCTGAGTATTTCCATTCCTGTTGTTTTTAAGTATAATGAGTATGCACAATACCTAAATAAAAATATAAGAACCGGGCAAAATTAAGACATACTTGTTAATAACAAAATCATAATTTAATAACAATTCATAATAGTGTTAGTGTAGCTTTTGTTTCCCAGTATCCTTTTTCAGGGATATCTGAGATATTTTCATTTCTCAGAGCCAGAATTCTCTCCTCCTAAAATCTGGTCACTGGCAATATATTTCTTTTAGACTACCAAACAGACATATTCACTTGTATTCCATAATGACAGCTTTTAATGTGAAAAACTGAAGGGATCCCAAATGAATGTGCTAAAGTTGCTTATTTAAGTAGCATTAAGCAAATATAGTAATTTTACTCCTTTACTTAAGATCTATAATTGCTCCTTATTACCAAAAAGATAAGTACTCAACTCATTAGGGCATAAATTTCTTCATGATTTTGTCCTTGTCAATTTCTCCAGTCTCCTCATTCCACATGTGCCTATGCTCCAGCTCCATGGAACTACTTAACAGTTCTGCACTGGAAGATTATAATTATCAGTATCATTAGCAGTGTTTTTAATTTTGACAGAAGCCCACCTGTCTCAATGAGTTGTAACTAATTAGTCCCATTTTATAACATGAGCCATGCATTACTATCTGCTAAAATAATACCAAAAAGCATTATATAAAGTGTCCTATGACTAAAGAGATGTGTATATGCTTTTTCCAATACTATTTATGTAGTATAAAAGTAAATAAGCTTCTAAATAAGAGACAGATGAACCATTTCCCATTAGTGGCAGCATTAGCCAGCAAGTGCTACAGAAGGAAGAAGTAATGTCTTTTGTTACCATTTTAGGTAAATCAAATTAGACCCTAGGCTAGAAATTAGCTTGCTAAATCGTATATTACCTATCTTCTTCAGAGGCATTTGGCTGATCATATAAGACATTTTTGGAATTCATTAATTTTAACACAGTAAAGATTAACTATAAAGCTCATGATCACTGTCTTGTATTTAGTATACTAAACAGCTCATAAATTGTATAATAATTCTGACAACACTTATGTAACAATGAGATTTTTCTCACTCCAAAGTCCCCATAAATATCAGTTGTGGAAATACATGAGCGTATACCTGGTAGTTTTCATTTGTGGCATTAGATATATTTATTTTAAGAACTGACAACTTTGGCCAAAGTTCTAGATTACCCTTAAAAGTGTAAGATAATAATTTCCATTGAGTTATTTTTTTGGATTTAGGTTTATGTAGAATGTAAAGTGCATCAGAATTTCATTAAGGTCACCTATCCTGTGGTATGAATTTAGTGCAACAAAATTTCACATTCTGTATCTTCTCTCAGTTCATTTTTTTCCACTTATCTTTGAACTTCTATATATTTACTTTCTTTATTTTATCAAGATGTGGCAGGACACATACCACAGTATTTGGATACAAATATCTGGATAACTCTGGAAATACAACATTCTCTTAGTACAAAACCACTGAAATGAGGACTCAGGAATCGTGCATTTCCAGCACTTGACCTCACCGATTGCTTTATAAAAAGATCTCATTTTGTATATAACCAGGTGAAATTAACCCCAACTGAAATTACATTGAAACCCATCTGTCAGCCAAACCATTTGAGGTTATATCACAGAATTAATCGTTTCTGTCATTGTCAGCAAAATCAAATACTCATATTAATCCATATCATGAAATAATAAAAGTAGAAATAAAGTTGGAACACTAAAAGAGATTTCTCAAGAATTTGAAATATAGGTTTTAACAAACATTTGTTGAAATTAATCAAATCTCAGCTGGAATCTAACCTATCTGAAATTCTGATAAATTTTTTTGGGGGGTTAGTGGACTTATTTTTAGCAAGTATTGCTTTATTATCTTTGATTCCTACATCTAGCACAGTGCTTAAAACATGGTTATACTCAATTAGTATTGGCTAAATTAAATTATTAGAATATGTTTAATACATGAAAGTATCCACAAGTATGTGTACATTATTGTCAAAAATAAAACAAATTTCATAGAAAAATAAATGACAAATACATAGAAAATATATAGTAAAATTTTTCTCTAGAGAGAAACCATTCTCTCTAAAAACAAATACATGTAAAACTGATACCTTGGTCAGCTTTACCTGTGTCATACTGACATTCAATCATGCCTTACAGGCAAGCAAGCAAAAAGCAAGAAATCAAAGCTTGAGTATAAACACTAAAATTACATGAAACAAACCTGATTTTCATACACTGCCATATATTGTGTCTTCCAAGAAAACTCAAAGGAAAGACTCATTAGTAATTTACAATTTTATATTTGCATTTTCCATGCCATTTGCAGTAAGTGTACTTTGTTCAACCTAATTTTAAAAAACACATTCAGTGCTATGAAATTTTCACAAAAAATACCACTTACTTTCTAATTTTATAAATTATTTCTTACAAATATGTAATTCACCAAAGAATATGGAATATTTTAATGCTTTTTAAAAAACACAGTGGTATTTTTAGTATGTTTGGGATCTAGCAGCTACTGTAATATCAATTCTTTTTTCCATTACTTCAGTTATCAACTACATTTTTTGAAAATATTTTTAAAAATAAGAGTTGCTGCATATTGTCTCAACCAAATATTACTGATACATGATTAATGTTTACTGTAATGGAAACAACAAACTATTTTTGTTTAGCAGAGTGATAATCTGTTAATTCCCACTAGAATAATTCATATCAATTGTTTTCATATTTTATGATCCAAACATATTACTGCAAATACAACAATATTTTTCTTAACTTTGTAACAGGAAAATCTGAGCATCTCTTCACAAAGGTACATAATATAGTGAATGCTTTGTGTTTCTTATAAAATGAAGTTACTTTAAATACTAATGTCTATTTACTAAATTCTCTTAATTACTACTTCATATTCAATAATTTATAAAAATGTGCATCAAGCCTTGAGGTGAAATGGTCTTGACACACTGGTTTTACATCCTTGCCATAGAGTAACATTTATAATTAATTCTTGCACCTAAATGAATAGCATATTTTGTGCAAATCAGAAAATGCTTTAATTTCAGGGATATCATTTTAACCTCCAGGATGAAAGCCATGGGACATCATTGTCCTTATTGTTATCAAATAAAAGCTCTAGGGGAAGCTTGGATTTTCAAAATGCAGAGTCAGGTACACGGTTTTGCACAAAATGCAATCTGAAAACATCAACCAGATATTATTTCTCATTTGACGTCAACCTGCCTTTATCTGACATGTAAATTGGGTATACAGCCAAATACACAGAAAAAAGATGTAAACAATATATATTCTTTATGAGCACCTGAAATTATGTCCCAAAGTCAGCAAATATAGGAAATGATTGAGTCACATCATTTTTTGAAAAAATACTAACTGATCACTTTAATATGCTTTATGTTCCTTAACGCTAGTTTTAAAAATAATAATTATCAGCATTTCAGGCATCTGCCAAAGGGCTCTTTGTTGTGACATGTCAAACCAAAAATGCTTATTACCTATTCCTTTAATCAAAAACTCTAAGACCAAAATGAATATATCCATAATCATTTTTTATTCTATGTACTCGAATATAGCAGTTACATTCCAATTTAAACAGAAAGCCAGTTTGTTTCTTCCCATAGTGATTTTCAAATTCAACTTGGTGACTTTTTGAATCTACAAAAGAGCATGGGTTGGCTATTTTCTTTTCCTTTACTATAGCCTTTATCCTTTCTTATCCCAACAGGCCTCTCTTTTTGCAAGAATTCACAAAAGACCGTTAACAGTTTCAAATGATCTTATTATTATTGTGACATGCAATAATTGACCGATTTTACACTTATTGAGACATATAGAGTAGGGATTTATTACCACATCATTCCGACTGCCTTTCTTTTTTTCTGAAATACATATTTTGAATCATATATATGATAAATATATATTTATCATCCAATTTATTAGGCCTTTTTCCTATTGCTTATTATAGTCATTGAATCAAAAAGCTAACATGAAGCTCAAAAATTAGGTGGCATTAAAGGTCCTGCTGTCTTCCTAGGAGTCCCACAAATACAACTTCACATGACTAACAATTGAATAGCTAGTATCCTGTTTCACATCCCTGCCCCTACCCACTGAAACTCATCAGATTAACAATTTCAACTATCTAATATGAAGATATGTTCTAAAACACAAATAGATCTTCAGGAGTAATCACAGGAAATTTGCATTTTTGTTAAAAGAGAATGATTAAGTGAGCTTGGGCTCACAAACTATCAGAGAACTATTAAGCTTAAAGTTTTACTTACAACTTAACTAAAAGATGCAATGGGGACCCTCGGAATACTGTTGTTGCAATATACACTAAAATATTATTTATCTAGAAAATGAGCTATTTGATCTTGTTCATACAATAAGTGATTAAATGATAGAGGGAAAGGATAACATAGACCACTGAAAAGACTGTCTCCTGCATGCCACCTTTGCTAAAAGAGCAGCTATGTCCTTTAATTACAAACCAAATTTGCTAATTAATTAGTTTCCACTTTGATAGGCAGAAATAACAGGATTACAGTGAGAGGAGTGTGTGTATGTCTGTGTATGTGTATGTGTATGTGTGTGTATTTGAGACATATCATTAGTAGTGAAATTAAATGAACTCCTCCAGATTTAACACATAAAGATGAATTTAAAAAGATGGAACATTTTAAAAAGTTAAAGCTAATTGAGGAAGGATTAAGAAAATGAATCAGCTAAGTGTTATATTTTCAAATACATTTAGTTTAACCAACCCCAAAGCCTATAAATATTACAATAGTAAAATGAAAGACCTTGTGACTATTTCACAAAAATTCTTTTCTTATTTTCTTTCTCAATTAGGAGTATCTTGTATTCACCTGTTCATTGCAGGCTTTTAGCTCCCAGCAGCAAATGGAAAGGCAGAACATGGCAATGGGCCTTTTGAAACCAAAAGAAAAGATTGTCACTCCCAAACTACCAGCTATTTCTCTTTTGAATACAAACATACTATTTGAAATAATTCATTTAGCTTTTTCTAAAAGCACCTTGTATAACCTTGCAAGTGGTGATTTGTAATATGGCAGGCTGTTATCAGGCAGCTACAATATTTTACCTCAGCTCAATAAAGAACAGCATTATTCTAAAGTTCATTCACACAGAAACATTTCAGGGGTGGTATTTTCCAAGCCTAGTTCATGTTTATTCATTTCTTGATTTGGGGGTGGTGTGGGAGGAGGAGATGGGGCTGACAAGCCATCTTCCTCCTCACTTAGGTGACTGACTTTCAACTCACGAAGGACTCTGGCAGGTTTTATCTGTATTACACAGCCAAAAGGGATTAAAATAATCTTACATTATAGCATCCTATGCATTGCAGTGTCTGCATTTGACTACCTTCCCTTATCCTTTTGGCTTCAGTGCACATCTGTCCACCTTCTACGAGCCAGGGCCTATATATTTCTTGCTTGAGGGCTGGCTCTGGCTGGCAGAGCCTGCTTCTTTGCCCCTACATGACAAGCATGACATATCAGCGAATTATTGCCTCCTAGGAGCTGCTCTCAATCTAAGGCTGATGAAATTCAAGTAAATATCTTAGCTCCCTCACCTCTCCACTTGTGTATGCTTACCTTCTAAAGTTTCCCAGTGTGATTAAGCACCAGTTACCAATAGCAGTAACTTGCTTGAAAATAAATTCTATGTGGGCTCCTTTTTTTGCAGGTCTAGTTTCCTCATTTCCTGAGATCACCTCAAAAATAAATTACCTGCATTTCAAATGATTTGTCTCAAAGTCTACTATTTCTGGGGGAATTTGTAAGACACTGTGCACCTCTTACTAAATAAGTTTGGGCCTAACTTCAGCCAAAATGAATGAAGGGCAAACCTGAGATACATATTTACCCTAACACACAAGCAAAAATAAAGATGTCAACAGAGAATAACTGCATTTTTTCTCCTTATTTTTATCTCCGAGGATTAGTAGAGTTTGAAAAGGAAAAAATTTAAATAATAGTGTACAATATACAGATGTTTTTAATTTATACATAATTACAATTAGACTAGCAAACATTCAAATAAAAAATATTTTTTCTTTAGAAATTAATAAGGTTTGTTTGGCATCTTAGCTAGTTTCAGTGCTGGGAATTAGTAGTAGTACAAGTAAGTTTCTACACTCAAGTCCTAATTTCAATGTCTGCTTCTGGGAGAACCCAAACTGAAACATTATAAGAGATTGCTGTTATCCTATGACCAGTCCTGTTCTCCTTTGCAACCCTTTTGGTTTCAAATAACATAAACCAATTGAAGCCATCTTAAACAATCATCAGAAAAGGACATATCTTGCAAAAATTCCGGGGTTTCTCAAGAGACCAAGGTCAGCCAGGCCCCTTGAAAGACTTTGTTGGAAGGCCACAGGAAAACAAGGAAATTCTCCTTCATCTCTACCTCACTGTTCTGTTCTGTCTGAAGATTAGACCTACAGCTCCAAAGTTTACATGTCCTCTATATTAGGAATCAGCCCAAACTGGTTTGCTTCCTCTCAGTTTTAATGCCAAGTTCCCATCAGAAACAGTCTTTTAGCTGCTCTGAGCCATTTGGCTGCAGCCAGGTGAACAAGGGTCCAAAATAAAAGTGTTCAGAGAAGGAGACAGGGGTTCTAAAATGGGTCAAAACAAACTTGGACAATCTCCTTAAAAATCTCATAAAACATCAATGATATAATAATAACACATACTAGGGAATAGAAAGTGGAGCACGTAAGCAAATTGTATTTATTTTTTGTTTGTAACTGGGAGTCAAAATGAGCTACAGACTAAGTCAAAATGAGCTAAAGACTAATGATAAATGTGGAAATGCACCAGAGATTTTATTCTCTCCTATTCCCCCCATGTGGATCTTAAACTGACTAGTACTGCAAAAATTTGATAAAAGTATAAAAAGATGCTTTCAGGGATTCAAATCTATCAACTACTACTTAATATCAAATCATACATTCATACACAAAATATTTTGTGATTAAATTTCAAAATTGTTTTGCTTTAATGATAATAAATTATTGTTCAATACTATGAAATTGTAAAAACATAAGACGAAATCGATATTTATATGTTATCTAGGCAAAAGTTCCATTTTCAAGAAAGTATCAACACATAGCTTTTGAAGAAAACAAAGTATTTTTCTTTTCTCATAAATTTCTATAGAGGGTATTAATCCTATGGGAACACATTTCAGTATTTTATAATTTTGTATTGCTTGATAGCATCTAAATTCATTTCTCTTCCTGTCCTAAATGCAAACAAAGATTTTCCACTGCAACACTATCCTAAACCCCATTATACAGGTTCATTTGCTTTTGGGGGTAGTAGCTTTCATGCCCATAAAAACATACTTCTTTGAGAATTACCTCACCAAATGCCAGCACTGATATATTCTGTCAGTCTAGATCATTGTTAAATCTTCTTTTTGGTTATTAGTGTTGACATGATGAGTACATACATGCTTACTAAATGATAGTGGTTTAGTACTTGAGGGATAAGCATAAAGCCACCAGTCACTTATGCTGTTGGGCAATTTCAAGAAATTTATGTCACATTTCAGGGTGACAGCAATGCTGGCCGCTAACATGCCCCTGAAGATGAAGATATAAAGATGAGCTATCATCGTGGATGCAGATGTAGGTCTCAGTTGTTAGTCTACAAGTACATCTACTCTACCAAGGGTGGAGATGCCAATTCTGTTTGTATAAAATATATTGTTTTCTTGAAAAAGTGTAAAAACCATACAACATACTGTCTAAGCTTACACGGTCCTTTTTAATGGAAATGTTTAACGTGTTAATAGAGGAAAAAATGTTTCCTCAATTTTTTTTCACACCAGAGCCTACTTTGCTACTCAGGACAGTGCAGTGCTTAGGATTTACTAGATAGGATTACATAGCTATGTATAAATTTAAAGTAGAGTATAAACAAATACCATGCTTAATAATCTCAACAGAGTCACTGTCTCCTTCAGAATTAAAACAGTCATGCAGAGGGTCAATATTGAAAAACAATTCATATATTCATAAAACACTATAAAATTTATTTTGGCAGATTTCATATATTTAAACACAAACCTTCATTGTATTTACACTGTATTTTTGAACAATTTAAACACAGCATTGGGCAGAGAAAATTTTTTTCAGCAAATGATTCTGGAACAACTGGATATTCCAATTAAAAAATACTTTGACTATCTTGACAACACATACAAAAATTATTTCTAGATGGGACATAAACCTATACTTAAAAGCTAAAACCATAAAGCTTCTAGAAGAAAATATTGAGAATAACTCTGTGACCTTGATATAGGCAAAGATTTCTTAGAGAGGACACACATAGGACTAAGTATGAAAAAATTATAAATTGACTTCAGCAAAATTAATAACTTCTCCTCTCTGAAAGATGAAAATATTAAAAGCTGAGCCACATATTAGGGAAAAATATCACAAAACATATTTGTAACAAACGATGCAAACCCAGAACACAAATAACTGCAACAAGAATAAAAGACCCACAATCCAATTAAAAATTTTTCTCAGCATTCTAGGCACTCATTTCAAATAAGAATACATATAAATGAGCCCCCCAAAAGCACATGAAAGCATGCTCTTCAATATTAATATTCAAGGAGATGCAAATCAAAACCACAGTAAGTTACCACTGCAAACCACTGAAGTGGCTGTTGTTAAAAAGACTGAGAACGTCAAATGTTGGCAAGGAAATGCAACAGCCAGAATTTTCATACATCCCTGGTAAGACAGTGAGATAGTATAAGCATTCTAGAAAACTGTTTGGCAATTCCATATATTATAATAAAAGGTTAAGCATATATATGCTCTAAGACCCAGCAATTACACTCCATGCAAAGAAAACATGTCTATAAAAATCCTGTACATGAACTTTTATAACAACTTATCTATAATCAGCTAACACTGAAAGGAGCCCATATGTACAGTCATGATACTGAATAAACAAAATGGTACATATTTGGTCAACGGTGTACTTCTACTTCTCAGCTATAAAAGAAATAAACTATTAATAAATGCAACAACATGGATGACTGTCCAAGGATATACTGAACCTAAGAAAAAGGAAGAGTATACACTACATTATTCCACTCATATGAAGTTGAAGAACAAAATTTTCTCTAATAACAGAAATCAGAATAGGTGGTTCTTAAAGGAATTGGAGGCGATATAGTTTGAATATTTGTCCCCTCCAAAATCTTATGTTAAAATGTGATCCACAGTGTTGGAGTTGGAGCCTGCTGGGAGGTGTTTGGATCCATGGGAGTGGATCCCTCATTAATGGCTTGGTGCCTTTCCTACAGTAAAGAGTAAGTTCTCACTCTATTAGTTCACACAAGAGCTGGTTGTTTAAAAGGGTGTGGAACCCCATCTCTCTCTCTCTCTCTCTCTCTCCTCTCTCTCTCTCTCTCTCCCCCACCCACCCCCCGCCCACCTTTCTCTCTCTCGCCATGTGACATATCAGCTCCTCTTCCATTTCTGCCATGATTGGAAGCTTCCTGAGGTCCTCACCAGAAGCAGATGCTGGTATTATGCTTCCTGTGAGGCCTGCAAAACTGTAAGCCAAATAAACCTATTTTCTTTATAAATTACCCAGCCTTGAGTATTCCTTTATAACAATACAAAAAAGACTGAGACAGCAGGTTATGGAAAGGGGTCACAAGGGAAGTCTCTGGGCTGATAGAAATGTTCTCTACTTTGCCACGGGTATTGTTCACACAAGACTATACAATTACCAAAACTCATTAAGTTTTATACTTAAAAACTGCATTTCACTGTTGATATATTTTACCTCAACTTTTTTAAAGTAAGAAAACCAAAGTAGATAAGGAAAAAAATCTTTATTAATTTCTGCTATCAGATGAATATGGCATATATACTTGCATAGGATTCACGAGATGACTGGATGACCTATGAGATCGTTGGTAAGAACCTATGTCATAGATGAGGAAAGAAAGGCTCAAAGAGATTTAGAAATTGGCCCACTGTCACAAAGCTACCAGGTTAGCAGATCTGGCACTCAAACAGTAATATTTTGACTTTACCTACCATGTTTTTTCTACTATAACGGTAGCTTTCAGCATTTTTTACCATATTCCACAGTAAGAAATGCATTTTATATAATGACCTGGTAAATCCACAAACAAATTCCATATACACACACAAATTATAATAAATGTGTCAGAAAGTTATGTTTAACCTTAAGTATATATATAGTATACATACATATATACACACAGGTATGCGTATGTATGAATAAATATGTATGTGTATGTGTATATATAGTCATATGCCACATAATGTTGTTTCAATCAACAATAAACCACATATAACATCGTGGTCCCACAGGATTACAATGGAGCTGAAAAACTCCTAAGGTTTAGCCATCCTAATATCTAGCACAATGCATTACTCATGTGTTTGTGGTGATGCCGGTGTTAGCAAACCTACTGTGCTGCCAGTAGTATAAAAGTATAGCACACACAATCATGTATAGTTTATAATACTTGATAATAATAAATGTGTTACTATTTTATGTATGTATTATACAATACTTTTTACTGTTATTTTAGAATATGCTCCTCAACTTACATATTTTAAAAATTACTTGTTAAACAGGCTCAGGCAGATCCATCAGGAGATATTCCAGAGGGAGATATGATTATCATAGATGATGACAGTTCCCTATGTGTTATTGCCCCTGAAGACCTCCCAGTAGGACAAGATGTAGGGTGGTGGATGACTGTGAAATTGATGATCCTGATCTTGTATAGTCCTAGGCTAATGTGTGTAGCTGGGTCTTATTTAACAAAAAAGTTTAAAGAGTAAAAAAATAATAATAATAAATTTAAAAATCAAAAAAGCTTACAGAATGAAGATATAAAGATATTGTTTAGCTAATTGCAAAAAGTCAAAAAGCTTTTAAAAATTAAAAAGCTTATAAAGTAAAAAAGTTATAGTTAGCCATTAATTTATTATTGAATACTTTTTAAAAAATAAATGTAGTGCAGTCTAACTTACAGTGTTTATAAAGTCTACAGTAGTGTACAGTAATGTCCTCGACCTTCACCTTCACTTACCACTATTGACTAACTCACCCAGAGCAACTTCCAGTCCCGCAAGCTCCATTCATGGTAAATGCCCTATATAGGTGTACCACTATTTATCTTTTATACTGTATATTTACTGTACTTTTTCTATGTTTAGGTATACAAATACCATTGTGTTACAATTGCCTGCAGTAATCAATACAGTAACATGCTGTACAGCTTTGTAGCCTAGGAACAATAGCTGTACCATACAGACTGGGTGTGTGGTAGCTATTCCATTTAGGTTTGTGTGAGTACACTTTCTGATGTTCACACAATGATGAAATCGCCTAATGACACATTTCTCAGAATAGATCTTTGGCACTGAGTAACAAATGACTGTATTTGAAATGATACACAAGCACATCCTTTTTCTTAGGTCCAACACAGTCATGATTTCCTCCAATACTGAAACAGACCTATGTAGCAGGCTGAGTTGAAAGATAATACATTTATCTTTTCATACTATATCCTCAGTAAGAGAAATGCTCACATTACAAGAATCAGTAAGGATCCAACAGCATGCCCACTGAGGCATTCCATCTCATGCTCACCATGGATCATAGCTTCACTGACCCCAATGGAGGCAGTAAATTTCTGTATTGAGTATTGGAGGAAAAATACAAAGGAAAAAAGTATCAAGATGTTGGCAGTGAGTGGTCAGCAAAATCACATACGCCAAAATGTCAGTAAGAATTGTCAAAGGAGAAAGCAGACTCCTGCAATGGATATGAGAGAGGAAAAGATTCAGGATTCCAAGAACAGTCCTATAAAAGGAGTCAGAATTAATTTTACAATTTTATAATATCGTATGTAGTTTTGTAAAAGGATGTTCCACATTACACTGAGCAAGTTAGAAAGGTGGAAGTAGACAGGATGAAGAATGGAGATATAGAGAATAGGAGACTACAGGAGTTCTGTTGTAGTTTACAGTGAGCAAAAGAAACAATATGCAGCTGTCATTACCTTTTCAGTTTAGAACTAAGAGTGTACCCAGTTTGCACATGAGGAAAAAAAAGGGATACATAAGTTAAAGTACTTCACTCAGAATAACATGGGTCTTTAATTCTAGGAAGAAATAATGGACTTAGGGAGTCTAGCTTCAGCATCTGTTTTCAGCCACTACCCTCAAATGCCTCTCTCATTTTACTGTCCCCATTTATAAATTAAATCACACAAAATTGCTATTTTTTCAGGTCAAAATGATGAAATATTATCAATTTCATACAGTTCAACATATTACTTACTCCTAGCTCTCCTCCCCTATGAAGTCAAAGTTCTTCAGTGAGTTCTCCTACCTTCTCTCATAGCCTCACTTCCTATTCATTCTTCAACTTGCAGAAATAAGGGATTTTGTCCAACCCTTCTCTCAGTCTGTTCTTTGTTGCCAAATCCATTAGAGGCCCTTAATCCTTGTCTTACTTGATCTACTGCAACATTTGAAAATATTGAACAAATCCTTCATTCTTCAAATACCCTATTTACCCGATACTGAAATTACTTGGTCTTTCCTACCTACATTCTAGTAAAGTCCTTTTAGTCAACTTTGAAGATGAGTTTTCTCCTGTCTTTCCCTTAAATACTGTTATTCCTCAGAGTTTTATCCTAAGTGTCCTTTCTATTGCATTTTATATGTTCTCTCAGGGTGATCTCTTCTACTCCAAAGGTCAATTATCACCTAGATGCTAGTAAAACGTAAACCATTGTCTGCAGCACCATCTTTCTCCAGACCCAACTCTCCACCTGCATTTTTACTTGAACACTTCACAGTCCCTTCAGTGTGTATCCAACTGAACTCAGCATTAACCTTCTTTTAATAAATATCTCAGTAACTGACACTGTCATTAACTAATTACCAATGAGCAACCTAGATAGCCAACTTGACCACCCTTTATTTTTCAGCCCCTCTATCCAACCCAACACTTTACATTTTACTTGAATTCTTTTATTTTTTATTTTTTTGAAATGGAGTCTCTGTCACCCAGGCTGGAGTGCAGTGGCGCGATCTCAGCTCACTCTAACCTCCGCCTTCTGGGTTCAATCAATTCTCCTGCCTCAGTCTCCTGAGTAGCAGGGACTACAGGTGTGCGCCACCACACCTGGCTAATTTTTGTATTTTTAGTAGACACGGGGTTTAACCATATTGGTCAGGCTGGTCTTGAACTCCTGACCTCGTGATCTGCCCACCTCAGCCTCCCTAGATCTGTCTACTTTTCCCTGTCTATGATATTGTTATTTGAATCCAGGCCACTGTAACTTCTCTCTCGAACTGTTGCTGTAGCTACCTGATGGCCTGCCCATGTCTTGTACCTATCCAATCCAGTCTCCAGCAATGCAGCTACATCATACTTTAAATAAAACTCCATCACACTTGCCCCTTTTTAATACCTTTCAATGACTTAGCATTGCTTGTAGCATAAAATCCAAAATTCTTAACATATTTTACAAGGTATGTGTGATAAGCCTCTACCACTCTCTCTAGACACACTCTTCTTGATTCTTTCTCCTTTACTATGTCTCCAATGATGCTTAACTTCTACCAATTTGAATAAATATTCTCTTTCTTATCAGATTTTAGAGATGTTGTTTACCACATCCATGTATAATTCTCTCCAATTTACAGCTGCTTCATCACTGAATCCTGGTCATATTCTACTTATTTGTAGAATCTCAACTAATATGCCCCTTCCTATGGAAGCCTTTCATCTCCATAGGCTTGTTTAGGTGTCCTGCCCCGAACTCCTAAAGCATCATCTACTTCTCTTATCATTGTATTATGGAGATTTTTATGTATCTCCTTCCCCCTCCTCAAACTAAATGTAAATCTCAAATAGTAATGAAAAACACAAACAATAAGAACCAATTGGGTCAAGTCTGTATTGCTTCTCTTTGATTCCCAATTAACGTATGCTTAACAAACACAATATATACATATATCGCTCATCAAATATATACACATCCCAATTAACGTATGCTTAACAAACACAATATATACATATATCGCTCATCAAATACACACACACACACACACACACACACACACACACATATATATTCCACTCATTTTACTCAAAGGGAAACCATTTGGTTTACTGAAACTCATTCCAAATACTTATCTGACTTAATTAAATTGCTTTTAATTATCATAATGTTTTATTCTAACAGATTTTCCCTATGTAGAGATGACACAATATCCAATCTTTCAGTAATTTCAGAAGACTAGCTTAATACATAACCATTTATCATACTGAAGTCCATTCCAAAGCAATATCATAATAAAATGCCATCTGCCTTAGCATACCAAATGTTCTTTCATCTTCCCACAATTCCTTAAAGGCCCCCTTTTCCACAAGGTCTTGGATGGATAAAAAAGTGGCTTCTACTTTTTGCCAGAAAAAAAACTTAAAACTGTCTGGAGACATGGATGATTCTTAATCCAATTTTACACTTACTAATGTCTTTCCATTTATCATTTTCAGGAATAAACATCATGGTAAATGTATTCTATTATTTAGTCATTCATCTACTGTCTGCATTTTATAATACTCTTTTATAAAATGAATGTACTGGTGGATGTAAATCAAGTTCCAGAAAACAATTCCTTAAATTTCCTGGAGAAAATTATTTTAAAGGAAACAACAATTTCTAAAGTAACCTAGTTAGTTCACTCTTCTAAAAGTTTATCAAAGCAAGATTTTGCTATTCCCTTAAACAAGTTATGTTCTTTAATATTGTTTGATGTTTCAATGTATAATGGCTGCTTTTTGACACTCTTTCACACTTTTATTGGACATTTGCCTAACCTCTGATTTATTGCTTTTTAAAAAATCCAAATTGATTGTACTACCTTGTAATCTTCCTTTTTATCTTTTCCTATAAAATAGGGACAATATTAGCTGCCTCTCAGAATATAAAGACCTAAGCCACTGTATATGTTCAAAAAAAGCAGCCATTACTTGAGTCATCCCTTTCTTCTTCTCAAAATTAAACAAATTTCTTCTCATTCAGCCTCTTTATTGTGTTTCTATCACAGAAGCTCCCTCTCCTGAGTTGCAGTCAGGGCTCATCATTATCTAGCATACAACGCTATGAACCTGCTAAAAATATCTACGCTCTAGAGAAAACACACTTATTCTGGTTTTCTGTAAGAAGAGTAAAATCTAATCTTTAATGTTTTAAAGGAAACAGACATCGATCGTGGCATTTCTGATAACAGTATAATAACACCAGCCAATCTGTTTCAAAGTTATTAAATTCTAATACCTCAGAACATACAGATAACATTTAAATCAAGCTATACTGTCTTCTGTTTCTGATCAAACGTAAAATTTGCTCACTTCTAAATGTTAAACAAAACCCTGACTGCCTCAAGACCCAAGAGAGGGCCTACAGTTGTTCTTTGCTTCTAGAAGAATTCAGCAAATGTAAGCAGTTCTCTAAAAAATGTGGGGAAAAAAATGCCTCAGCAAACCACACAAAATTATCCAATCACTTTTTGGGTCCAAAGAAGTCTGAAATGTTCCCTCTGCTCTGCCACCACATCACTAAGCTCTCTAAGAAGCAGTCAATGTAAGTCATTCAGAAAATGTAGTAGGCTGTCTTGATGATCCTTAATTCAATTCTATACTAAGGTAAATTCCCCCATTCATAAATTTATTTGACTTTTATAAGCTATACTTATATTTTATGATATCATATAATAATTCATCCAATATTTGTATTCAGAAACATATTTTAGAAGTTAATGGCAACAACAACATTGATCTTCTAGATAAAATGTGCATACTAATAGCTGACATTCTTTCAAAGCCTAACATTGGGTCTCTATCACAGGAGACAATGTGGTGTAATGGTTACACGTGGCATCTAGGTGAAAAGGCCTGGGTTTCAACTTTACAATTTCTTTGCTGTGAGACCTGATATAAATTAATTTATCTAAGCCTTAATTTGTTTAATTTGTAAAACTAATGCTAATAACTACACAATAAGGTTGGTGGGTAGATTACTTGTGGTAATGCATCGTCTAGTACAGTGTCTGGCAAAGAGTAAACTCAATAAATGTTGAGATGATGATAATGGTAATAATGATAAATCTCTCATTACCATAAACAACAGAAGTTATGACTTTCTCTGAATTCCTATATCAGTGGTCTCTAAAATTTCTGTAAAATCTATCAGACCTTCCATATACTTATTTATATCATATATGTATATATATAAATATCTGTCTATATATGTAGTTGAATCCCCTATAGATTATAAACCCCATAAATTAAACATTTGATACTTCATTTATTAATAGCACATATCATATGCAGTTTTTTGGGTTTTTCTGTTGTTTTTGTTTTGTTTTGTTTTGTTTTTGAGACGGAGTCTTGCTCTGTCACCCAAGCTGGAGTGCAGTGGCGTGATCTCGGCTCACTGCAACCTCCACCTCCCGGGTTCACACCATTCTCCTGCCTCAGCCTCCCGAGTAGCTGGGACTACAGGCGCCCGCCACCACGCCTGGCTAATTTTTTTGTATTTTTAGTAGAGATGGGGTTTCACCGTGTTAGGCAGGATGGCCTCGATCTCCTGACCTTGTGATCCACCTGCCTCGGCCTCCCAAAGTGCTGGGATTACAAGCGTGAGCCACTGTGCCCGGCCCATATGCAGTTTTTAACAACACACATTCAAGGGCATATGTGATTGTGTAGTCAAATGCAGTAGAGTACTAGTCTGATGGAATTAATCCTCCAAACTATAACTAAAATATAAGGTAAATAGCCTAATGCTTTTATGATTGTTTATTATCTCTCTATACTGCAAAATCTTTTTGGAAGTACTGTTATGAGTCAAATGGAGGATGTGCTAAAAATGACTTCTTTCCTCCAAAAAAGTTAATAACAATGGAGCAAGAGGATGCTTGGCCATGACCTCACAAGTATTTGGCAAATAAAAGATGCAATCACTACAGAACTCTGCACTTGAGAAGATGAGGAAGCCATATAATATGGATATTTGCTAACATTAATGTAGAATATCATCTATTAGTGGTTATTCCACCTCTAAAAAAATTTCCAAATTCAGTTTATTTTATTGGAATTCAGCAGTTTGTGGGGAATAGTACCAAATTTTGATCTATGAAATATATTAAATATTACACGGTTTATAGCTTTAAAAAATCAAACTGATGCCAGAATATAATTCCAATGAAGATATATTTCTCATAATATAGCCAAACCAAAAAGAAAGATCAAATTCAGTGCTCAAATAAGTGCAAAAGGAAAGCTGATGATACTACACAGTTATTTCCAGGGGTTTCTAAAAACTACCTCCAAACCTCACTTCCTCCCCTTGTACAGCTGCTGTGGGAACAAACAGCTTCACTATAGACTGTATACATAAAGAGAAACTGAGAATAATGATCAGTTATGTTCCCATTCTCAGGTACCAGGCCATAAAAAAACCTTAAAATCAGATAAATATAGAGAATACTACTGTGTCCATTATCTAGATGAATTTATCGTGGTCATGCTCATTCCTATATAACTAGTCAATGAAATATTAATATTAATGTACAAGGCCTAATAGTCAATCAAAAGAAAATTTCATAAAAATATAAATTAAAACACATAAATGAATGCGGATGGGACATTACAGATAAACATAAGAAGACTTTCTTTTCTAGAAAGTGGAAAAAAGGAGGCCAATTGTCTCAGTACCACAAGATTCGGGAATGACATTTCAATGGTTTTCTTAGATTTTCTTTGTGCCGCGTATGTGCCAGACTGAGTGCTAGAAAAGCCAGCAACTCAGAAGTATTAAAGGCAGACACGGCCAGGCGTGGTGGCTCACGTCTGTAATCCCAGCACTTTGGGAGGCCGAGGTGGGCGGATCACGAGGTCAGGAGATTGAGACCATCCTGGTTAACACGGTGAAACCCCGTCTCTACTAAAAATACAAAAAATTAGCCAGGCGTGGTGGCGGGTGCCTGTAGTCCCAGCTACTCAGGAGGCTGAGACAGGAGAATGGCCTGAACCCGGGAGGCGGAGCTTGCAGTGAGCTGAGATTGTGCCACTGCACTCCAGCCTGGGTGACAGAGCCAGACTCCATCTCAAAAAATAAATAAATAAATAAATAAAAATAAATAAAAAGCAGACACACACAAAGCCTCAATCCAAACAACAAAGAAACAAATGGGCAGATTCTCAGATACCTCACAGAGTAAAGAAGGACTTCCCTGTACTATCTTTCCAACTTCCTGCATATGAATAATTTTTCAAAATTGACTTAAAAACAAATGGAAACTTTCAAAGTGGCCTCCTGAGGTTTTGAATTATGCAAAGATAAAATATGACTGAATTAGTATTATCATTGTAAGTGACAGAATTACTGAAAAATTGTTTCTGGAGATATCTTCTAAACACATGGTAGGAGAAAAAGGAAGATATGAGGTCAGCATCATTCAGTTAAGAAACATTTATTGAGGCCTTCTACATATAAGACTGAAGGCAAGCATTAAAAATTCAAAGACAGAAGTCATAGTATGGCCCTCAAGCTTAGAGGGGGAGACAACCAAGATCAAAAAGAATTGCATGTTGCAATGTAGTAGTGGTGGATAGGTTGAAAATAAAACCAGAAGTGCACTTAATTTATAATGAATTAGATGAGAAGCCATTATGAAAGGCTTACTAGAAGAAGGAATAGCAGTACTCAGTTTTATTGGATGAAGATAAATTATAATCATGGAGAGAAGCTAGAAAGGGCATTCTAAAGTGAGGTCTTAGCATGTGCAACACCTTAGAGATAGGAGAGGACAGAGAGAAGAGCAAGTGTTATTCACATGCGGAAGAGGTAGCAGAGGGGCCAACAGGGGGCTGGTTCTCAAATCTGATGGAGAAAAGCCTGTTTGGCCTCTACCTGGCACCATCACATACCAGGCACTGTGAAAAGTGCTGCTAATATAGTGATGAAAAAGACTTGGTTCTGCTCCTCAAGAGGAGACAGAGAGGAGCTGTTTCTCTAGTGAGAGAGACAGGCACAACCTGATCATTCTAAAATAACAGTTTGAATAGTGATCTAGAGGCGTTCGTTATGGGAATGAGGGGAAAATATCTAGCTTTCTGTGAATAGGTATGGGAATGTCAAGGGAGTGTAGAGAGTGAATTATAAGCAGTTTGGTATACCTGAGAGAAATTAAGCAGAAAGGCTGAAGAGATGCTTCTGGAGAGGTAAGCATATTATAAGAACGTCAAGGGGTATGGACTACGCCTTGCAGGCAATGGAAATTATTAAGAAGTGTGACATGGTGAGACTTTAAATGAATTACTGTGACAGCATTGTGTGTGTTGGTGTGGGAAGGAGGGAAATGAAGGATGATGAGGGCAAGAAACGGTCAAAAAAGGAAGTAAAACCAGTAGAATATAGTGCCCAGAAGACAAGGAAGATGGAAAGAAATCAGAAGAAGGTCAACAGTGGAAAGTGCAGCCAAGAGACTTGATAAGGGGTCAGAAAAAATTTACTCAATTTGGCAATATGAGATTATTCTGTCACTAGGGTCATCAGTTTCAGGACAGTGATGAAGACAGAAGCCAAACCGAATAATTCTAAAAAGGTAAATTAAGAAAGTGAGGCAGCTAGTATATACTAGTATTATCAGAAGTTTGAAGGAAACAAGGAAGGACAAATGTCAAGAGAGATTATTTTCCAATATTTGTGGCAAGTGAAAGAAGTATTCTATTTCTTCAAATTATTCACATTGAATCATGTTGACAGCTGCTATAAAGAAAGAGTCGATCGGGAGAAAGAGTAGGAGATACAAATAAAGGATTTAACTACAGAATGAGTCCAGAGATGAAGAGCATTTGGGTCAAGGATATGGATGGCAAGTCAACCCTGAAGAAAAGAAACATTTGGTCTTCTGGGAATGAAAGACAATGACGATGGCTATGGAAGTTTTTAGGTGGTAGGAGGTTGAGGAATAGCAGAAGAGAGATATCCATTTCCTCCAATAAAACAGATGATGAAATCACCTGCTGAGAGTGAAGAACATGTGGGTTTAAGATGAAGCCTGAATAGGTCTGAAATTACTCTTGAAATAAATAGGACCAGGGCTAATCAAGCCCATGGTTAAAGACTGACAAGTGATCATTTACTAAACATGATATTTTTAAAACCCTCAATCTAATCCTTTTTCATAAGGTAATTTATTTCATAATTTGCTTTATGAGTTCAAATGTAACTCAGCAGTAATCTAAAGTAAGGCAGTGTTTATTTTACTTATTTTCTCAAATTGAGGTGCATCATCATGTTATGTTTGTTTAATTTCTGCTTATATTTTTGTTATACACATAAAAATTATTGGCCGGGCACAGTGGTTCATGCCTGTAATCCTAGCACTTTGGGAGGATGAGGCAGGTCAATCACAAAATTCGGAGTTTGAGACCAGCCTGGCCAACATGGTGAAATCCAGTCTCTACTAAAAATACAAAAATTAGCCGGGTGTGGTGGCACGCACCTGTAATCCCAGCTACTTGGGAGGCTGAGGCAGGAGAATTGCTTGAACCCAGGAGGCAGAGGTTGCAGTGAGCCAAAATCGCACCACTTCACTCTAACCTGGGCAACAGCGCAAGGCTCTGTCTCAAAAATAAAATAAAATAAATTTTTAAAATACGGCTTATGTTATCACAAGCATCACAAGCAGAAGTTGTTTTTTGTTTGTTTGTTTTTGTTTTTGTTTTTTCATCTTAAAAGAACCCTGCCTGGTAGGTATCACTTTTCCTGTTATATAGATGAAGAAACTGAGTATCAGAGAGGTGGAAAAAAAATGACACATCCTTTATTTCCCAGTAGGTAGAAGTGTCAATAATCACTCCCAAGTGTTTTTCTTGTCAAAGTAGAAATTTTCCACTATATCATAAATTGTCTTAATTGAAGATCAAAGATAACTTGAATTTAATTTTTTGCCCATGTTTGTTTTGTATTTAAGAAACATAAGATTATCCCAAGTCTATTGGGAGAAAAAGGTGATTACGTTAATCAAAAGAAAAGTCACTTTAAAGAGTCACAGGAACACTATTTTTTAACCAGAAGCTGTTTTAGACATGACACTAATAACTTTCCTTAATTAAAAAACTTATCAAGCTTTATGAAAAATATTTAAGAAACACGATCTAACTAAAAAATGGTTCTTATTGATAATCTAAATGTAGTTAACTCACAAGTTTGCATGTGTGGTAAGTATTAATCCCTCTTTTCTTAATATTTTTAAGATCTCATTTATATCTGCAGAAATAAAGGCCAAGTCTAGATGGCAGGTCAAACTTTTTACTAAAGTTTGAAAATAGCGCCTACAGTTTTTTGAAAACCATTCGAACTGCTGGAATATTTGGCAATATTTGACATCGTCATATAATGAGTCAACCAAAATGGTTATGATTATTTCAGTGCTTGCAAAGATTTCAGGCTAGAAAATCTTCCCCAAACCTCTCTTAATTGGACAAAAATTTATAATGCTCCTAGGAGTATGGAATCACCATAACTGAATATATAAATCTGAACAGATCTATGTCTGTCAGCAGACACAGAATATTTCCAGATAATATTTTCATGTATATACATTTTTGGCCTCAAACATTAATAGTAGTTCAATAGACTTAAGAACATAAATCTGTCCCCAGTACCCAAAATAAAGTATATGCCTCAAATTACATTTTAGTGCCATAAATATATTATTAATCATTAAACTAGGAAAGAATGAAAAAAGTTTCAAAAATGTGCAGCCATTGAATTTTTGTTCCGAATATACAAACATCACTTCGTTGTATCATCAGTAGCCTGAGACTTAATTAGAATTGCAAAAAAACATATACATCACTTAGTCCAACTCCTTAATTTGAGAGACAAGGAAACTGGGCCCAGGGAAAGAAAGCTTACCCAGATTCAGTTGAGGTTAAAGTGGAATTCAAATCTAGGTATCTAGATTCACAGTTTAATGCACTTCCCAGAAGCAGAAAAGATATAAATAAACTTATGTAATTTCATCTGGCAACCAAATTCAGACACTGAGTAGAACTTTAAGGATAGTCCTGAGTTTGCTGTTTTATCATATTCAAAAGCACCTACCATAACAAGTGGATAACTAAACAACATTATAATCGCAGGATGAACATTATTTTAATTATTTAAGCATATTATAAACAAACTTCAAACTACATTATTCAAGAACTCTTCTGAGTAACAATCAACTGAAATCATTCTCATTGAAAACACACAGCACAAACAAGTGAAATAAAACAAACTACAATGGACCCCCCAAAAACCCCAAATAAACATCCAACTAGTACTTTCAACCCCACAGCCTTCAATTCTACATGAAGCACTGTCAATTGAGCACTGATTTGCCTGTATCACCAATCAAAATGCAAAATAAATCATTGTGAAATCTCATTGGTTTATACTACTGCCTTTATATATATTAGCTTCCGGAAAATCATTCTGAAGAACTGAATCATCTGTATCATTTTTACTACTCACTCAGGCTTGACACTGTCTGCACAGTACTGACTGAAATGTACTTTGCACCTTCTTTCCAAATGAATATCTATGTCAGGTTTATTTACAGCCACTCCCTTCAATCAGTGCATTCTCAGGTATGAGAAATAAAATAATCTCAACCATACTCTTCTATAGAGATCTGAAACTAAGCGTGGACATCTTGGCAACTGGCCTTTGGAAAGATAATGAAAGATCTATACCATAAAATATACATTAAGATTATTGAGATTCCAAGAACAATCATCTTACACTCTTTAATTAGCACATGTAAAGAGCCCCAGGTACAGAGAGCTAATATAAAACCTATGCACCCTTTTGCATAACTCTTTAGGTACTCCAAGATTATTATAACCTCCTCCATTCTCTTTTCCTCATTCTGATTTCTCTGAAATTTGGGTAACCTCTTTGTTTCTTACTTAGATGTTTTTCTCTATTTAGGAGCTTTTCCTTCTAATTCTTTACAAAAGCAGGGCATGCTTCCCCCTGCTGGGAAAAAATCAAATTACAAGGTACATCAGAACATGTTCCTAAGTATTATATCAAGAAATCAAGTTCCTAGGAAAGATAAAATGTTAAGGAACCAAGTGCATTCTCTGACTGTTTTACCAGCCACAGAAATACTTATGCACTCTGTTAAGAGTTTCTTGTATGCATTTATTTAGCTTGGCCGTCTTCAAGTACAATAACTCATATTAATGACTGATGAATTAATCTTTGAGCCACTTGTCTCAAATAGAACTCCAATTAGCGGGTCAGAGAGAATGATCAATTTGTAACTTTTTTTTCACTTTAAAGACATATTATAAGCTACATAAAGAAAATTCTGGAAAATATATTGAAGACTATTCAAAATATATTAAAGATACTGAAGACTGGTAAGACTTGCCTTTTAAATCATTTCAAACAATCTTAAACATCTATTAACACATTATTTTGCTATTATTTTTATGTAGTTGTCTTTTTTGGGAAAGTAAAAAAAGTTCGTTTTTATTGACTTTACTTTTCCACTTTAATTTATATTTTTTTTCATTCAGTAACCAAGAAAGTAGTAGGCATAATTGTATTTCACCTTCCCACTTATCTATAAAACTAGCTTTTTCCCTGAAAACAGTTTAGTTATTTCACATGTTCCATGTTTTGAATATAAATCTTTTCCTAATTGTTTAGTATTTAAACATAGAAAAATACCTTACACTTCATTGTTAATATAAATAACAATTCATAAATTAAAAAATATAGCTAATGCCTATTTAAATCATATATTGAGGAGCAGAATTTATTCTTCCTTGGTACAACTAAGTCTCAAAAAAATCTTTTAATACTGAGGAGCTTGGGTAGAGGAAGTTATCCGTTTTAGTTTTTTGCTGTATGTAAGTCCATAACAAACTTAGCTACAAAACTGCATTGTAACCAATTTGATGATGAAGCAATTCATTATTAATGAAGCATTCATCTAAAAAAAATCTGCAGATGTTTTAAAAAGGCATGGGTAAGTAACTACAGATACCATAGGTGTCTTTAGTATTTAGATGGCATTATTATAACATAAATGGAGTAATTCGGTTAATAAAGTTCATGTGTCTTTTTTCAAAAAAAAACCTTTCAAAGCAATGCAAAAAACAAGACATATGTGTTCCTCTAGGAATGAAATCCCCTTTAACATTACAGGTACACAAAAGAAAATGCACACTTGGTAAAACAGTTGATCAATTATAGAGTGTTCCCAGGGACCAATATCTCACAGAGTACCCAATCATCACACTTCAAATAAATGTATAAGCACTTTAGCCTTTACTTACCACATTAACATACATATAAGAACATGCATAGTTTAATGCATAGGTTAATTCTAACACTTTCCATAGGATAGACTTTGATTAAAGGGTATCAAAAATCACTTCCTAAATGCAGCAAAAAATAAAAATAAAAATACCGATCTGTAGCTACGAAGCTCTTAGAACACTACATTGATCACCATTTACTTCCAAACTGCTTTCCCTTCCCTCTGCGAAGTGAAAATGTCCCTGTAGACCGCGTTACATACACTTTATGGTTTCTCTATCAATGATCCTAACAGGTCACATCGCCACTGCCATTAGATCTCCGTAGCTTTGGTCTTCTCCAAATTAAGACGTGGAGAAGGAGCACTGCTGTCCGCCCCAAGAACGGGGTCTGTCCGCCCGAGCTCTAAGGCGAGCATCTTCAGGGGGACAGTTTCTGCGAAGGCGGGGAGAGGAGTCCCTCCCCAACTTCACTCCCCTAATCAAGCCGCGGGTGAGATAGGCAGCCGGCGGTTTGTGCCCATCTGTGGGGGCAAGTCCTACCTTCTGCCAAAAGGCGCGACGCATGCACAAAAGATGGATCCAGGCTATCTTTCTCTGCCATCAGCTCAGGCAAATATTTCTCCTCTTCCATAGCGCGGACTTCGGATTGTCCCCGGGCGAAGCGCGAGGTTCCGCTCGCTCGGACGCAGGCAGGGTCTTGGGGCAGCGCCTGGCTCCCGCGCTGCTCCTCCTCCGCGCGGCGAGGGATCTCTGTGCGTCCTCACTGGCCCATGCACCCAGCACCTGCGACTCCCGCCGTCGGGCTGCGTGGCCCCGCGCCCACACCTGCCCGTCCCTTCCGTCGTCCCTCGCTCGCGCAGAGCCCCGGCTCACACCAGCGGCCTTAACTGGAGAGGCGGGAACAGGACGCGGCCCACCTCCGCCAACCACTCATTGGTGGTGGTGCCAGGAGAGGCGGGGCGCTGGCAGAAGGCCGCGGGCTCTCATTGGGCGGTAGCGCAAGTCGGGTGGCCTGACTGGCAGGAGGCAGCTGCAGAGGGGAAGGGAGCTCGGAAGATGCAAACGCTTTCTTCTTGCGCCCAAGCCTTCCCTGGCTATTAGGCATGCCCAGTTTTGTGGAGTTCTCTGTGTCTTCAGCTAAGGCGCAGAGGAGAGAGAGCGCGGGAAAAGCGCAGGTTAAAGAGAGAGGTCTGAGTACAAGTGGACAGGGGAGATGGAGATGAGAAGTGAGCCACCCGAGAGGGTGGAAAAGCGCCAGGGAAAGTCTCAGGAAGGTAGATGGGACTTCACCTGCGTCCCTAAGGCACAGGTGTCTCCTTTCCCTCACACAGCTCAGGCGCACTCCAGTTGTGCAGGAATCAGCAGCGCACTGGGTCTGGAAATACAATGAAGACTGCATGTGATCGGCAGCTGGTATTTCCGATGACCTACATCTCAGGGACGCAGTAGGATGTTCATTGATAAACAAATAAAGCGGCTCGAAGAAATATTGTGCAGAGACATGATTGAGGTGTACAATCATTAGGATATTGAATTAGTTCTGGTAACCTATCCGTGCCTCCTTTCCCCAGACCCTATCTGTGGAAGGGAGGTTGGGAGGGGCTGAATTTAAAAACCAAAAACAATATGATTCATTAGTCACAGTTTGTGAAAGAATTGGGAAGACATGTAGAAGAAAGAAGAGACTAGAAAATAGGTAACCACGTTTGCTCTAATTTTCCCCTTTCTCCTAGTTTTAGATGTGCCAGTCTCTTTCACCAGGTACTGTTGCTGAGCTACTTTGTATTATCCCACCTCTATTTAAAGGAAAGTTAAACCCTCATGATATCACCAAGCGTGGAGGCAAAGCCCATCCTTCTTTTACCAATGCGGCTATAAAATGTAACTTGCATGCCTCAATCGCTAGGAAACAATCTTTCCCCAAGTCTTGGGTTCTCGTTTCATAAGTAGTCATTTCCTGATTCTTCTCTCCCCCATTATTTTTGGTGTGGAAGAATGAGGGCCAACTTTGCTACAAATAAAATGTGCTGAAATTTTTCCAACTTATCTTACTGTATTTAAATATTTTCCTTTTAATTTTTAGATAAATTCGGGAGATTAACTTTTATTTGTATAATGTTTAAATAACGTAACGTGCCTCACATTGATTATTTCAATACGTCCTCACAGAAGCACTCTGAAAAATGCCAGCCAAGTATTACTTTCTCTGTTTGTATAAATATGGAAACTGAGGCAAAACAGAGAAATCGTCTCATGTCTAGTTAATGCTGAAGTTGAGATTAAAATTCAATTCTATATTAGCACCATTTATATCCAGAATATACTGCTTCAACCTACCTTTCTGTGTGTTATATATTTAATTTATTTGTGCATGTGTGCATTCAACAAATGTTTATTGGATACTGAAAAGAGTCTAGGGACAGTACTTAAAATTGGAGAAACATTGGTGAATAAGATACATACACATTCATTCCTTGTCATCACAAAGATGTTTTCTAATGGGAGAAGATAAATAAAACCAAGTATACAAGAGGAATGGTAATTGTTGACTGCAATAAAGGTCAAGAATGAACCAAGGAGTTAAGAAAGAGAATACAAGGGAAGACATTAGTTTCTTTATTTTTGACTAGGGTAAACATACAATCTCGATAAGCAGCTGATATTTACGGTGAAAACTCATGGAAAAGAATGAACCAAGTGAGTACAATGTGCAAAGAAAGACATTCCAAGCAGGGGAACTTGCCCCTGAAAAAGCCCTGTGGTGGAAAGAACTGTGCTGTCTTTTGGAATTGACTGAGGTCAATGTGACTACTGTAATATGGGAAAGAATGGAATCAATAAGGGAGGGGGGATTGATGTGTACAAACACTGAAGATTTGATGAATGAAAATTATTTGGATTTTATTCTAAGTGTAATAGGGGACCATAAAGTATTGGTATCTTTCTGGATGTGCTTCTTAATCTCTTTCTGATTCTTATGTTACTTTCAAAGGAGCTATTATTTAGAATTGAGTATATATACAGAAAGTTCTTGCTATTTTATCTGTGTGCAGAATGTTTAGTAGTTGAAGGGTCATGCATCCTGCACCTGGTCTGCAACAGGGATATAAAGGGAAAATATGCTTCAAACTTAAAAGAGGTGGCTACGATTTGCTATGGTAGTAAAGGGTGAATACGATGCCAACCACAGGCAAAAAACTGTAAATGTTTTCGAATAAATGTAAATTAGAACAAAATATTTTACAATTACAATAACATTTTGCTTTGCAGCATATCAAGACATTAAAAGCATATGGTGAGGATGGAGACGTGCAGAAACCCAGTTTCATGAATGAAGAAGGTGTAGTAACTCTTATAATGTCCAGCAACAACAACTACTTTATTATTCACAGCCATCTTTTCCATGATTACAGGATTAATAAGAAGATACCACAGCGAGCTGTCCAAGTGCTGACTTTATTATACAATGTCTTCAAGTCATTATAAATACAGTCAAGTTAATATTTTCTAGTTATTATCAAAACTAAAGATTTATTATTTGTAGTTCTTCAGGTAATCCCTCATCAAATGCCTAAAATGTATTCTAACAAAGCAATATATTTATGCAACTTAAAAAATCAAAAGAAAATAAACTCTAACATAATCTTTAGAAAAGTTTGTGTACTTACTACATGATGGACATTGTAAAATAAAGATATATAAGTATATTGACCCTTAAAAATCAATATGCTTCAGAATTATCTCACAAAATGTTGCCTATTTTTAAACAGAATATGACTAAATAAAGGCAAACACCAAGGGCCCTACATATACACTCATCCAGCATCAGATCCACGTGTTTTCAATAGATGGCTCTGTGTTACTGCATGTTCTCCATTTATTTCACATGCAAATATTTTACAGGTACAACATTATCCTTTAATATTCTCAGAGAAACCTTGAAAATGCAAACATTTTATAAACATAAATGTAAACAGAAAAACTTTAAAAAATGATTGTTGAATATAGAATATTTTGTGTCTACCCTTGAATAAATTATAACTGCTGTTTAACCCACCTCTTCTAATGATATGAATAACCTAAATCACCACTGAATTGATTTGCCTAACTTAAGTAAAGATTTATCTTATTTTAAACATGACTTCTAGCCCCAAAACATTTTTAATGGAGTTCTAGTAACTTTAACATTATTTTTAAAATGGGATATTATAGAAAATTTTGCCCCAACCACATTTGGTTTTGAAGGATGAATAAGTCATGCACCATAGAATATGTTCTGTGGTTAAAGCACAAACTGTATATTCAATATTTTCACACACCCTTGTAAGAAAGGTCAGGCTAAAGGGCATTTAATCAGACTAATCCTTGCAAACTAATAAAAAAATACCCAGCCTGCATTATCAAGTAGAGCACAGTTTCTGTTGCTTCCAGAGTTCTTATTAACTTTATGGATACCACATTAGCTACTCTTGACTAGTTACTCCAAGGATTAACTAACTCTTGACTAGTTACTCAAAGGATTCAGTAAAACCAACTCACAATAAGAACCCTATGTTTCCAAAATTGTCCTGGCCCAATAATTTACATAATGATAATGGAGAATGATGGTGTTAATATTCTTTTAGCAATCTAATGCCTTGGTGCCTAGAACAGAGTATAATAAACTATAATAAAGGACTGGCCCACTTATATTTACTGTAGAGCCCAACAGAACTTATTATATAAAAGATGCTATTTTAATATCTTAATTTCTTTGAATTTCACTAACTACACAAGTGAAATCAGTTCCAGTTTCTTTTAGAACTTCTATGTTATACTTTAGGATTGTAAGAAAAGACAAGGAAATGAGGACTTGGCTCTGCTGATGACCAATAGTGGTAATTGCATGTGTAGTAAGAAATTTCTAATATGTAATATGCTCAAAGATAAAATTTATGCTATATGATAATATATCATAGTACCACATAAATATTCACCACTTAAAGCTTGTGTGTGTGTGTGTGTGTGTGTGTGTGTTTTCTAATTAGAAAGCATTCTAGTTATTTAATAGCATATTATATTTAAACTGATACAAATATATAATTAAAGAACAACAGAATAGAGACAGAAAGAAAATTATTGACATTTGTTGAGGGTCTGCTACTGTGTTAGAACACTGCTGTTCTGAATCCTCACAAGTGGGAGGAAGGAAGGAAGGCCAAGGAAGAAACTGTTCTTAATTCTAATGTGGCTTAGCCCAGAGAAACTATTTCTGAGGTTTAAATTATCTGTGTTTGAAAAACTAACAGAGTTGATGTCCTTGTATCTCCATGAACAATTGTTGCACTGCCACATTTTGGGTGGCACTCATAGCAGCTGAGGAGCAGTACTTCATTAGAGGAAATGGGAATGGGGCTGTTGTTCCAAGGTGAAAGCTATTTACTATATTCTTAAAATTAAATCCTTGAATTGTAGCTCAAGTATGGATTATTTCTGGAGATCAATATGTTAAGGTAAAAATCACATCAGTAAAATATATTTTTCTTACACATCAAATGAAGATCTAATCTCTGTTGTATTCAGTATGCAATAAAAATATGAAGGCTAGGAGACGATTTAATAAAAATGATAATAAAGTACGTTAAAACTTTTGCCAGACAGGCAGATGTATAAGCAATTGTTTTATATCATGAATAATACAAAAAAGGAAGCATGGATTAAATTTCAATTTAATTTGGAGGTTAATTAAAAAATTAGAAAACTATTAATATTGAAATAGTATTTTAAGAGAATACCATCCCATTCAAGTTTTTATATTACAACAGACACTTGTTTGGTATAAGTTTTTGTCATTCTGGTCTCTCACATTTAAAGACATTACCACGCATATAACAATCATTATGAAATCTACTGTATAAAATAGTTCGTACAAAGCAATTGCCAGGCATTTTAAGAGAATGATAATAAAATTAGAATATACAGTTCCAAATTTAAGAGTTTATCAGTTTCAAGAGAAGAAAACAAAATAATAAAATCAAAGACACATACATTGTATGTGATGCTTGGTGATAGACTGTGTGACCATCCAACCAGCACAGAACTAATAAATATCATAAAAATTATCCCAATACATTGAAAACAAATACAAGTGTAATATTGGATTATATCCTAGATCAGATTTTGTTTTTATTTTTATTTTTCATGAGAAAGAAAATTAGTGAGTTAATTTGTTAAATGTAAAAAAGGTCTGTTGTTTAAATTTACTGATTTTGCTGATGTACTGTGATTATATAAATGAATGTATGAGTTTTTAGAAATACACGATAAAGCATTCAATGGGTAAATGGGCATCAGATCAGCCACTTACTTTCAAATAATTAAGAAAAAAAATAAATGTTTATGGATACACATAAAGGAGGTGGGAGGGAGAGAGACATAAAAAGACAGAAAAAATGGCAACTTACAGTAAGTATGGTGAAATATTAACACTTGAAGAAGTTTGATAAGGGGTATATTTAAACTTTCTGTATTATTTTTTGCAACATTTTTGTAAATCTGAAGTTATTGCAGAATATAAACATAATTTTAAAATTAGCTAGTTATTAACAAAAATAACTTCAAAGTATTTTATCCACACTTCAGTTTAAGTATCATATTTTACTAGCCAGCCATGGAGTTCATAAGTCCATATTTATATTATATAACCTTTGTTATAGTGTGAATTGAGTTCAGAAATTTGGCCACAAAATGATAAATTTTGTTTAAAAAACATAACTTTACATATCTTACGGAAAATACCAACCACACGTGTGTAAATTACCTATTTATCTTTTTTTCCAAATAAAGGATAATACAAATAATTGTGTTGGCTCAATTATTTCTTTTAAAAATCCCAATGGCATCGATTTGTCAAACAATAAACCATTTATTTTGAAGAGATATAAGAAGTAACTACAGTTCTGACTGGGCGCGGTGGCTCATGCCTCTAATCTCGGCACTTTGGGAGGCTGAAGCAGGTGGATCGCCTGAGGTCAGGAGTTCAAGACCAGCCTAGCCAACGTGGTGAAACCCTGTCTCTACTAAAAATACAAAAATTAGCTGGGCGTGGTTGTGGGTGCCTGTGATCCCAGCTACACGGGAGGCTGAGGCAGGAGAATCACTAGAACCCGGAATGTGGGGGTTGCAGTGAGCCAAGATCACATCACTGCACTCTAGCCTGGGCGACAAGAGCAAACCACCGTCTCAAAAAAACAAACAAACAAACAAACAAAACAAATTAGAAGTAACTACAGTTACATTTTAATTATAGATGTAAACATGGGACAAAAGCTATAGTTTACATGCTTCTTGTATATGATCTTGGGCTTTGAGTGTTATGATATCCCTGCATTTCTGATTTTACCCTGTATCTTCTAAATGCTTTCATTCAGTTTGTTAGCTGCCATAGACAAAGTGTATTTTTTTTTCTTCTATCATAATGTGCTCTACATGTCCTTGAATGCATTCAGTTGGCTAGTTCAGAACCTAGGTGGAGGAATGGAATAGAGCAAAGTAACAAAAGTTATTCCTGTCTTATTGTGACAAAAGTTTATCATTGTGGCAAATGTTTAGAAGCAGTAAATACTGCTGTATTATTGTGACCAAAGTTTGGGAGCAGTCACCCCATAGATATAGATAGATAGATAGATAGATAGATAGATAGATAGATAGATATATGCACACACACACACATAAAACTAGGAATAGTTAGCAACTTTCTCAATATGGTAAAGGGCATTTATGGAAAACCCAGTATTATTGTACTCAGCAGAGCAAGATAGTTTTCCCACTAAAATCAGAAATAAGGCCAGCCTGCCTACTTTCACCACCTTCATGCAACATAATGTTGGAAGTACTAGGCAGAACACTTAGAAAACAAGAAATTAATGGAATCTAGATTTTAAAGGAAGAAGAAAAACTCTTATCTATTCAGAGACATAATCCTGTAAGTATAAAATCCCAAAGAATCCACAAAAAACTACGAGGTAATAAACAAATTCAACAAATTTGCAAACACAAAGTTAACACACATAAAACAGTTGTTACTATACACCTGCAATGAACAATCTGGAGAAGAAATTAAGAAAAAAATTATAGTTACAATAGCATATAAAATACCTAGGAATAAATTTAACCAAGAAGATGAAAGACATACACTGAAAACTACAAAACATGATGAAAGAAATTAAAGACCTAAATACATGGAAAGACATCCCATGTTTATTGATTGAAAGACTTAATATTGTTAAGATGGCAATACTCCCTAAACCAATCTATAGAATCCATGTAATTCCTGTCAATACTCCAATAACACATTTTGTAGAAATGTAAAAGCTGATTCTCAAATTTCTGTGGAGTCGTGAGGTGCGCCAAATAGCCAAAACAATATTGAAAATGAAGAGCAAAGTTGGAGGACTCACACTTCTTAAGTACTTACTATAAAGCTACAGTAATCAAAACACGGTGGTAGTGGCATAAGAAATAGAAATTAGAGTCTGGAAGCAAATCCATATCATGGTCAATTAATTTTCAACAGTGATGCCAATGTCATTCAACTGGGAAAGAATAGCCTCTGACAAATGGTGCTGCGGCAACTAGATATCTACGTGCAAAAGAATGAAGCCGGGCCCCTGCTTCATACCACACACAAAAATTACCTCAAAAATGGATCCACAACTTAAGTGTAAGATCTAAAAACATAAAACTATAAAACTCTTAAAAGAAAACGTAGGAGTAAATCTTCATGACCTTGGATTGGCAATGAATACTTGGATATATCACAAGCACATGGATTGAAATAAAAAATAGAGGAATTGAGCTTAATCTAAAAATGTTTTGTTCGACATTATCAGTAAAATTAAAAGACCTACACAAAGGGAGAAATATTTGTAGATTAAATATATGATAAAGCTCTTGTCTCCAGAATAGATGCTCAATATCATTAATCATTAAGGAAATGCAAATTAAAACAATAGTGAGACACCAGTTCATATCCACTGGAATGGCTATAATTTTTATAAAAACAAGGAAAGTAACAATTTTTGACAAGGATATTGAGAAACTGGAATCCTCAATACTTTACCAATGGGAGTGTACAATGCAGAGGCTAATGGTGCAGAAGCTGTGGAACACAGTTTGGTAGCTCTCCAAAAAGCATAAAATTACCATATGATCCAGCAATTCCTATCCTATGTATATATATAAAGGAAAAGAAAACTGGTACTCGAATTAATACAGGTACTCACATATTCATAGCAACACAATGCACTATAGCTAAAATGAGGGAATAGACCAAATGTTCATCATCCATTGGATCAAGAAACAAAATGTGGGATATCCATACAATGAGATATTATTCAGTCATAAAAAGGAATAAGATATCAGTATATGCTATGTCGATGAACCTCAAAAACACTATGCTAAGCAAAAGAAGGCAGATACAAAAAATCACATATTGTATGACTCAATTTATATGAAATATTTAGAATAGGTAAATGTATAGAGACAAAATGTGGATTGATGGTTACCAGTGATTAGGAGAAAAAGAAAATGGGGAGTGACTGCTTAATGGATGCAGGATTTACTTTTGGAGTGATAAAATGTTTGGGAACTAGATAGAGGTAATGGCTGTGAATGAACTAAATGTGACTGATTTTTTTTCTTTAAAACTATTAATTTTGTGTTACATGAATTCACATTTCAATAAAATTTATAAAGTGAGATGAATTTTGTTAAGTGTTTAGGTGCAAAAAATGCTACAGTAGGATCTCAAGCTTGGGAATATGCATAATGCGTCTTTGTTTATTCTATTTATTCAAGGGGATTCTAGGGCTAAGGAGTCTCTCACTCTATTCATTTTGTTTTCCGGTTAAGCTGCCATCCCTTTCTTTTATTCAGATTATTTTCTCAAAGTCACTAACTAATAATATAGCAGAATTGGCTCAGTTAGTTGAGAGATATTTATGCTTTTGCGCATGCAAGCAACCCTCACGCAGACACACACACACTGGGAATAAAGACTTCAGCTCTGTCCATACATGATATAAAACCATGATTGCTAATTGCATGAAAGATCTTGGAAAAATCAGGTATTTCTTGAATTATGTAACATAAAGACAGCAGGATGGCAGCATAAACTTGTTAAACTAACCAGGGATTTTTGAAATTTAAAGGAATAAAATCAATCTCATATTTATCCTGGATTCAATAATTTAAGACTCTTAGGAGTTATGTTATTTAAATAAAAATATAAATAAAATAAGAAGGCAATCAGTACTTTCAAATTTAGTCCTAATTTGCCCTAAGTTGAAAGTAGACAAATAATATACACCCATAACATTCATTAAACATTACGTCCTTAGAAACCAAACCCATCAAAAGTTATTTATTTGGCAAATCAACGACCAATAATTTTTTATGTAGGCTTCACCACAATTAGACACTATAAGTTTTGTTTGTACATAAACTAGTTTTCCTGTTTTATTAATAGGTTCTCAAAATATTTTGCCCTGAAGGCCTGTTAAATAATACAATTCATTACAAAATGGTGAATCCTTAATGCATTCACCTACCACACACACAGACACACACACACAGACACACACACACACATGCTTATCCTTCTCACTTATTAATTATGAGTTCTCACATCCAACTCTGTTGGGCTCATCTGTCCACTTTCTCTCAAACTAAACTTAAATGATCATAATCTAACGCTGAAGGCAGAAGTCATGACTAGGACCGTGATCCTAAGCCTACTAAGAAACAGACATGAGCAGAGCCCCAAAGAAATACCAGAGACACAAACAAGCCTGTGCGAGCAGGAAGACTTACTCTACAGAATGACTAGGTTGGAATACTCATCTTTTCCCTTTGGAATGGGAACTCCTAAGTTCCCATGGATGGGAAAATATTTTATATATATATTTATATTTTAATTACTGCATTAATTATCTATTATTCAACAAATAACCACAGCATTTAGCAGCTTTTAATGATAAACATTTAATATATAGGTCAATTTCTGATAGTCAGAAATCTGAATCAACTTAATTGGGTGGTTCTGGTTTAGGGTCTCTCATGAGGTTGCAGTCAAGGTTTTGGCTAGTATTATAGTCATCTGAAGCATTGACTGATATATCGAACTTCTCCAGCATAGTTGTTAGCCAGAACCCTCGGTTTGTCGTGACATGGGTCTCTCCGCAGAGAGTTTGAGGATGGCATCCACAAATATAGAAAGGCTACATTGAATTCCTTTTGAAGTACGTACTATTACCATCCTCTTCATTTTACAATGAAAACAATTGAGGCATGAGAAAGTTAAGTTGGCCAAAGTGTCTAAGCTAACAAGTAACAGAATTAATACTCAAACACAGGTGGTTGGGTCCAAGGGTCTGTGCACCTAAGAACCACATGTGTTAAAAAATAACATAACTAAATGAGGCTAGTGCTGATAGCACAGAGAGAATTTCCCCAGCACTTCTGGGAAATGCAAACAGTTCTTATATTACCTGTAGTCCATGTTACTTTAAAGGCCATCTCTTTGTGGATATCTATCTTCAAAATAAAACATGTTATCCTCTTCCTAAGACTTGTTGTTAAGTACTAGTATTAGTCACATACCACAAAAGCTATACTTTACAAGAAGAATTTCAAAATGTACAATATAAAATCAAAATATATATTTTCGTGGCTTGCAGTTTATTGTTTTAACTAAATTTAACTCTTTTGGGATAAAATCGAATTATAGAAGCAGAAACTTTCTCTGCTTGCCAGGGATTTGTAGATACTAAATCAAAGATTATGAATTTCTCATTAAATGTATCTGAAAACATATAAAATGTATTACATCTCACAGTAGTCACTGTGATTTCCTTGAATGTTAACAAAAGCAAGGCAGTGATTACACACAAATCAGTCAATAATTTTTTTCAGATGTCAAAGCAACCAAAATGGTCTCAAGAATAGTGAAGAGAAGCCACAAACATATTTTTACTATGCTCCATGTAAGCACACATTTCCCATGATCTGGATTATTTCACCAGATGTATTATGTATTTAAGACTTTTCTAAGTGAATGAAACTTTTTTAAGTGAAAGAAAAATGTTATGAGATAATTCACTAACCAGTTTGCTGTTTTTTTTTTTTAATGGGTACCCATATTAGTTTTCTGTTGCTGCTGTGACAGATTACCACAAATTTAGCAGCTTAAAACAATAAAACATTGTTATTTTTCAGTTCTGTAAGTCAGAAGTTTTAAATGGAAATCCTTGAGTTAAAGTCAATGTGTTGTCAGAGCTGTATTTTGTTCCTGTAATGTGAGATCTGCCTTTTCAGCTTTTGGAGGCTGTCTGCATTCCTTGGCTCATGGTCCCCTTTCTTCACCTTCAAAGCCAGACACAGTGGGTTATGCCTTTTCCACATTGCATCACACTGACTTCCTCTTTGGCCTCCTTTCATTTCAGAGGCATTTGTGATTTAATTGGGGTCATCTATATAATCCAGAATAATCTCTTTATTTTAAGGTCAGAGGATTAACAATCTAAACTCTATCTGTGACTCCAGTAACCTGAATAATGCCCCAGTGTCCACATTCTAATACACAGAATTTGTGAATAAGTTACTTTAAATGGTAAAAGGGATTTTGCAGAAACCATTAGGTAAAGGACCTTAGAAACAAAAAATCTTTCAAGATTATAGAGGTGAGGGTCTAATGTCATCATAAGGGTCATATAAAATAGAAGCAGGAGGATCAAGGAGAGAAAGAGAGAGAGCAGTGGTGGTGGGGGAGAGAGATTGATTTGAAGGTGTTATTCTGATTGTTTTGAAGGAGAAAGGGACCACCAGCCAAAAAAAATGTATGTAACCCCCAGAAATTAAAAATGGAAAGGAAACAAACTTTCCCCTAGATAATTCAGAAGGGACACAGCTCTGCCAACCCCTTTTACCTTCTGACCTCAAGAACTATAAAATAATACAATAGTAATGTTTTGAGCTACTAAGTGTGTGGTAATCTCTTACAGTAGCCAGAAGAAACTCACAAATACAATGTCTCCATGTTTACAGGTTCCTAGCATTAGGATGTGGATATCTTTGAGGAGGCCATTATTCTGCCTACCACAACATCCATATTTTTAGGTAAATGAGTTCCTAAGTATGCATGCTTGTTATTGTATTTGTCAATGAAGAATCATCTTCTACTTAGGTGAAAATAATTTTCATATATAATGATGACCACTGCATCATTTGCCAGTGGCAGGGTAATGGCTTTCAAATGCTCTTTTCCTTTTTAAAAATTTTCTGATAAGTTCTACATAAAAAGAAAAATTATTTCTACACAGCAGCCAAATGGAAATGTGACTGAGCTCAAAATATATAATATTCTCCCATGAATACTAATACATGCTTTTATTAAAAATAAAATATAGCTCAGCTAAAAGTATTGGCAGTACACTGTTTCACAAATGTTTATGAAGCTTTCTTTGGCATAAGTTTTAAAAAGGTACTAAAGTTTCTAAGATGGCCTGTGGAAAGTAAAATGAAGGGAAATTTATATTTCCTACAAAGCCAACCAAAAGAAGAAGTGAAACAAAGCCAACCAAAAGAAGAAGTGAAACCAAATCAAAAAAAAAAAAAAAGAGAGAGAGAAAGAAAAATCCAAATGACACACGAACATAGTATAACAGAAGAAAATATTTAAATAAAACTAATTAAAGTACAGATTGCAAGGCTAAGAGCATTGAGAATAGTCTTATGCTAGTCAAGATAAATATTGCTTTAATTTTTTTATATTCATTACTGAAAGTAAAACTGCCATTCGGAGAAAGGCAAAACAAGATACTACTATTGACAGTTGAACACAAACCAAGTTTAAGAGAGATGTTTAAGATTGAAAAACTTTCATAAGGTAGTCAGGAACATTTAATCCAACTGGATTGATTTTTAGAGGAAATAAATGATCGTGTATGTAATAGAACACTTTCATACTCATTACCACACAGGCAAAAGGCCTTTTAAAGTAATTTTACTTTCTTACATACAATTATAGCAGCAGACAATTGTAATTCAAATACACAAATTTAATTCCTATATTTTTGTGCTTGTATTTGCAGAGAGACCTGTTAGCCTTTACTCACATACCTTATTCTAAAATGCATTCAAGCCATTTTCTTAGGAGGCATTGTCTAAATATGATTTAAAACTCTTCATTCACCCTGTTCCATTTTCACTTGGAGAGTTGAATCCAGTGGGTATTGATTTTATAATATTATTTTGAAACAGCAAAACAGAACTGAAAAATCAGTGCTGATTGTTTTTCCATTTAAGATCAAATTATTCACTCAATGAATGTTTGTTGAATTAGATGTATCTTTTTCTGAACTATAACTGTGAGGCAAAGAACATGGAAAGTGTCCAAAAGGCATGTGAAAGCCAAACAATCAGTCTATAAAAGATAACAACATACCTGGGTTTTCAAATAAATTTCTATTTTCTATTTTCCTTTATTTATTTCCATTTTTTCCTCCCTCCCTTACTTCCTTTCTTTTCTTTTTTTTCTTTTTTTTTTTCTAATACCAGGCTTTGCACACTGAGAAAAAAGAAACACAGTCCTCTCACAGACCTTTTTTTAGACTAGAGAGTGAGATAGACTGAAATCAAACAAGAAAATGGACAATGATTTTTATGAAGAATAAAAATGGGCCCCCTGAGCAAGAGAAACAGATCGTTGATGAGAGGTAGCAATTTTGATTGGGTTATCTGGGAAATCTATCTGAAAAAGCTGCATTAGAGCAAAACCTGAAAGACAAGTAGTTATCCAGCGGCGGAGGGAGGTGGGAGATGGAGTTGGAACCTCCTAGGCAGAAAACATAGTGTGTGCTAAGATCATAAAGAGGGAGAAACCTTAGTATACACTTAGATGACTGAAGTGTAATAGGAGCATATTGAATCATAATTTAGAGAGGTAGACAAGAAGCAGATAAAAACAGAAGCCCAGTTCTTAGTGAGTCACACTGACCTAGAAGCATTTTACAGGCTCCCTTGCAGCTAATTGAAACATGACTAATTTCTGGCCAATATACTGAAAATTGAAGTGTCATATGTACTTATAGGTGGTCTCTTTAATGGGAGGAGCAGAGTCTTCTGCTCTACTTCCTCCATACTGCTGCTTGTGATAGCTGGAGTTCTATCAGTCTTCATAGACTATAACATAGGCTTGGGAATCACACCTACCTAGTGAGCTCTAGCTTAATTCTTTCTGACAGCTTCATAGAACTACCATACCAGTTCTGGATTACTTAACTTTTCATTTATTTTATGTTAGAGAGAAAACAACTAACTTTTAAAGTAATAGTTATTTTGGATGTTTCTATGATTGCAGGTAATACTTAATTCAGGAGACTAATGTAGTAGCTCAAATGAAAGGTGGCAATGGCTTGTGCTATAATAATAGTGGGTAAAAGGAGAAGAGGACAAATTAAAGATATATTTTGGAGGTAGAGCACAAAGGACTTAAACAAAAGATTGGGTATAGAAGAGTGAGGGAAATAAAAATATCAAAAATTAATCCAAGATATGTGGCTTGAGCAATCATTTTGTAGATGGTGCTATCACGAGTAAATAGGGAAAAATTGAAAAGGCACCAATTTGAGGCAAAATAAAGACTTCATTTGTGATATATATTAAAAATACCAAATTCTTCATATTTGTTTTAAATATGTGCTAAGTCCATCAGGCAAAACTGAATACATCTGCAAAATTTCTTATAACATTCATAGTTAATTATAATTTTACCGGAAGACCTGTAGCCAGCTTAGGAAGTCTCGCTGAACTTAGTTTATTTTTCCTTTATGTTACTCAGAAGTAGATTTGGTTGCTGTTTGCTTTATGTTACTCATAAGCAGATTAAGTTGCTGTGCAAACATGCAATTTACTCTTTTTTGGTTGCTATGTATTCCAGAGCAAAAAACAAAAACAACAACAACAACAAAAACCAACCGCCACCACCTAGATTTAGGCCAGTAGATTCTCTAATTTTTCTTAAGGGGAATACCAATGTTTTTGAAGGCTTTCTACCATGTTGGTGATTTACAATGTTATTTAATTTGGACCTTAGCAATATGGCTTGCCATCATCATTTTCCAGACTCAAAGAAATTAAGTAACATAGCTAGAAAAATGCAGAACAAGAATTCAAAGCTAGGTCTGCCAAATCCCAAGGCCTGTTTTGCTACTACTAAAAATTTCTTCTTTCTTGTATGTTCATCCTGTAAATAAAGCCATAAAAATTCCAAGATATCTTGTTATCATCATGAAAACTACTTTTGAAAATATATTTACATATTTATCCACACATATTCATGTATATACACTCTAAATATTTTCCAATAACAATAATATATAAAGAGTTGAACTAGAGTAGAACTTTTTGTGAGCAAACCTGTATCTCTGGGTAGCCTCTGGCATTGATTAAATTGAAGTTTAAAAAATTATAATTCAGTTCCATCTTCAGACAGTCCATTATCAAAGCATAATGCCTTTTAAATGAGTTGAAAAAAAAGCCCATAGGCAGTAAAAAGTAGTAAAATCAAGAATGATCATCTAGTGCATGATATTTAAATGAGAAGTGAAGGGAGTAAATTAAAGGACACTGCCAATTCTAGCCAGGGAAATTACAGTGCATCCAGTAGGGAAAAGGCTGGAATGCATTTTCATAGAAAATAATAATTTAGCTATATAGAGAGTTCTTTTCCCTAGATTCTTTTTTTAATGTCCTACTTTTCTTTAGCATATCATTGCATAATATCTTAAAATTCTACTATTTGACTATCTATACAGAGTAAACCATCATGCAAATTGCTTGTTCTTAGTATTAGATTCAAATGTAAAGACGTTATATTCAAAAACCAAACCATATCATGCTTACAGTCATTAGGTACTCATTATATAAAAGGATTTGTACTAGGTGATGAGTGGATACAAAAGAGAAATGAATAGCTGAATAGCTTCTCGTCTGAAGGAGTTCACATCCCACTGAAATAACATATATGTATACGCAAATAACTGTGTTCAAGTGAAGCCTGTCATTATGTTTATGCTATACTTCTAAGTCAACAAAAACAAGCTTAACTGCTCATGAACTTATTTAGTATATCATTCATTGTTAATGGTTATGTCAAAGAAGTAAACAATAATTTGATCCATACATAAATTGTGCCTTTAGAAGTAACCTTACATTTACAATTAGTTTGCATATTTAAACACTGTGTATTGCCAACCCAGTGATTTTTAACTCCAAGTTAAGTCTTTTAAGCTGACTGTTGAACAATTAGGATGACAGCAATTATTTACACACCACCCCCTCACTCATTTCCTTCCCATTGATGTTTCCTAATGTATTTGGGGTTTTCATAAGGCTATCCACCTCCTACTTCATCTTCTCTTTTGAATCAGGAAGGTACACCCTCTCAGTGATGTACAGATATCTTTTCACCTACAGCTTTCCTTGTTGTGCCCATATAACATAAAAGGTGAGTACCTGGCTGGACTTCCTTCCTGTGGCGTTGAGGAAATATATGTAGCTGGCCAATGGCTCATACCCTGAGGTTGCTACATTTCCTTCTTGAACATAAGTTAGCATCCTTGCCCTCTCCCAAATTTTATCCTTGCCTTGTGCTATCTTAACCCCCAATCTTCCAGGTAAATATTATTTTTTTTTTGTATATTTGACGTTACTTACATTTCTATTTGATGATATTCTCACATGAAAAAATGTGTGGTCCTTGTGGTTCCCCACCCCCGCCTTGGGACAAAACTTTTCTCCATGTTTCCTTTGTTGTTTTTTTTTTTTTAATTTACTTTGATATTTTTTTAAAAAGAAGTATATCTTACTGGAACTTATCATTTTCATCAAATCAGAAATTATATTTATCAATTAGAATAAGTTTCACTGGTATCTTCTAGCATATTTTATTACATTGAGAAATGAAACAATCTTTAGATTATTTTGAATTTTCTTCATACATGTGGTATTACTGCAATAGGACAATTATATTACTTATTTTTTAGTCCTTTTGATTTTTTTTTTTAAGCAGGGGAGACAGTTTTTCTCTGTCACCTAGGCTGAAGTGCAATGGTGCAATCTTAGCTCACTGTAACCTCTGTAACCTCGAATTCCTTAACCGAAGATATCGAAGGGTAGGATCAGCCTCCAAGGTAGCTGAGACTACAGGCATATACCACCACTAATTTTTAAAAATTTTGTGTAGAGATGGGTGTCCAGCTTTGTTGCCTCCACTGATCTTGAACTCCTGGCCTTAATCCTCTTGCCCTGGCCTCCCAAACTGTTGGGATAACAGGAGTGAGCCACTTAACTTGACCTTTAAAATTATCTGTCTTGTTTTCTTTTTTTCCCCCCACTGGTTAGTTTTTCTAGTACATTATTGAATAGAAATGGTGCTGCACTATCTTATTTTTCTCTTCTCAGGAGGAAATGTCTCAATTTTTCATGATTATTTATATTTGTTAGAGTGATTCTGTTGAATGTTTTTTGATTAAAGATACTTCACTCTATCTTTGTTTGCTACAAGTTTTTACCATGAATTGGTGTTTATTATTATCAAATGCTTTTTCTACAGTTTATTTAAAGATCAACTATATATTTTCATTTTAATATTAGTATAGTGAATTAAATTAAATAATTGTCAAATAGTAAAACCTTTTACATTTCTGAAATAAAACCTATTTGGTTGTGACTGGGATTTATTGACCAACAATACTGTGTTTGTCATTTTAAATAGCTATTTTGAAGGACCATCATTTGGCTTTGTTGCTTTTCTCTTTCATATACTTTTTCTATTTAATTAATTTCTATTTTTATTACCATCTATATTTTAATGTTTAGTTTGCAGGTATTTTTTCTAGCATTTGAGATGACAAGTTAGATCAATGGTTTTCAGATTTTTTTTTTTTTTTTTTGAGACTGAGTCTTGCTCTGTCACCCAAGCTGGAGTGCAGTGGCGCGATCTCGGCTCACTGTATCCTCCGCCTCTTGCGTTCAAGCAATTCTCCCGCCTCAGCCTCCTGAGTAGCTGGGATTACAGGCGCCCGCCACCACTCCAGGCTAATTTGTGTGTGTGTGTGTTTTTTTGTTTGTTTTTTGTTTTTTCAGTAGAGATAGGGTTTCACCATGTTGACTAGGCTGGTCTTGAACTCCTGACCTCAGGTGATTTGTCCGCTTCAGCCTCCCAAAGTGCTGGGATTTCAGGCACCTGCCACCTCTCCAGGCTAATTTGTGTGTGTGTGTGTGTGTGTGTGTGTGTGTGTGTGTGTGTGTGTGTGTGTGTTTTGTAGAGAGAGGGTTTCACCATGTTAACTAGGCTGGTCTTGAACTCCTGACCTCAGGTGATTCGTCTGCTTCAGCCTCCCAAAGTGCTGGGATTACAGGTGTGAGCCACTGCACCCGGCCCAGATGTTCTTTTATTGTACTTGCATTTAAGATTACAATTCCCCTCTGATCACGTATGATCTGCATCCTACAAGTTATGTTTTTGTTGTCATTCAGTATAAAATATTTTCTAATTTACCTTTTATTTGTATTTGAATCATATATGATGCATATGAGTATTACTTAATTTCCAGCCTGTTTGGGATGTCCTAGTTATTGACCTTTAATTTAATTCCACTGAGGTCAGAAGGCACACTCTGAATCAATTTAATCATGTGAAATTTGTTTAGGCTTTCTTTATCCCATCACTTATAGTTTTGGTAAAATTCCTTATGCTGTTAGAAAGTTTGTGAATTGTCACTGTTAGCTTCAGTATACAACAGGTATTAATATGTCAAAGTTGTTTAAGTCATTTGTATACTTACTAGTTTTTAAGCAATTTGTTCTATCAGCTCTTGAGAGAGTTATGTTAAAAATTTTCACCGTGATTGTAGACAACTATGTTTATCTTTTTAGTTATGTCCATTTTTGCTCTATATGTTTGAATCTATTTTATTATCTAAATAAAAATTTAGGATTATATCTTCCTGCTCAATTGACTCCTTTATCAAATCCCACATTTTCTTTTGATATTTCTGTTTGAAACAATTTTTCTTAGTTGAAAATTCTGTCAGTATTTCTTTTAATGCAGGTCTTCGATATGTGTTTATTTGACAGCGTATTTACTGCCTTTATTCTTGAAAGGCATTTTCAGTAAACATGGTACTCTACAGTGACAGAATTTTTTCACAGCACTTCATATATGTCATTTCAATGTGTTTACTCTTGTTTTAAGTCAACTTTGTTAAGGTGTAACTTACATATAATAAATTTACCCATTTTGAATGTACAGTTTAATGAATTTTGAGAAACTTACATAAACCCATGTAACCACTACTCCAATCAAGATGTATAATATATCCAACACCACAGAAGTTTCCATTATGGTCCTTCACATTTACTCACTCCCAAGTCCTTGGCTTCAGATACCACAGAAAACATTTCTGTAATCGTAAATTGGTTTTTGTTTTTTCTAAAATTTTGTATAATTAAAATCACACATTACACAATCCATTGTATTTGGCTTCTCTTGGTTAACATATAATTTCTGAGGTTCTTCTGTAATACATGGTAGGATGTATCAGCAATTTTTAAATTTATTACTCTTATTATATTATATCACAAATTGATCATCCATTTATTTGTGTGGACACTTGGATTACCCAGTTTTCTTTTTATTATTTATAAAGCTAGTATGAGATTCATGTACAGGTCTTTGTGTAGATATATATTTTCATTTCTATAGAGAAAATTCTTAGGAATATAATTTCTTCATGTAATCATAAGTAAATATTTAATATTATAAGAAGTGGCAAACTTTCCAAAGGGTATTTTGTTTGTTTGTTTTATAATTCTTACTAGCTAAGTATGAGTGTTCTGGTTACTCCTAACCCCATCAATATTTGATACTATCATTCTTTTTTCATTTAATTCCAATGATTTTTAATTTACTTTAAAAGTCTTCTACCTGTGCATTATATGAAGAATATTGTTTACATTATAAATACTTGAAGATTATCTGGATATTTTTCTGTTAATAATTTCTTATTTAATTTTGTTTTGGTAGAGAACATACTCTGATGTGAATAACCTTAAATTTACTGAGACACATTTTAATTTTCAGTACAAGGCCCATCTCTGTTAATCTTCCATGGATTGTTGTTGGGTAGAATGTGATTATCTATTTATCTATCTATCTATCTATCTATCTATCATTTATCTATGCAACTATCAATTAATCAGAGAAATCTCCAACATACTTAACTGATTTTCTATTTCTTCTATCAATTTTTGATGGAAGTTATTGAATTCAAATTATGATTTTTTTTTTCTATTTATTCTTTCAGTTCTATAAATTTTTCTTCAGGCATGTTGAAGCTCAGTTAAGTGCATGTACCTTTAGGATTTTTATGACCCTCAGATAAGTTGACTCCTTTGTCATTATGAAATGACTGAGGTTACCTCTAATATTCTGGGATATTAGGCAATTATTGCTACTATATATTTCTATGGTTAAGGGGTTCATACTTTATAATTTTCCAGTCTTTCAATTTTACCCTTTACTTTTATGCATATAAAGTTGTTTATTTATTTATTTATTTATTTATTTTGAGACGGAGTCTCTCTCTGTCGCCCAGGCTGGAGTGCAGTGGCGCGATCTCGGCTCACTGCAAGCTCCGCCTCCCGGGTTCACGCCATTCTCCTGCCTCAGCCTCCCGAGTAGCTGGGACTACAGGCGCCCGCCACCTCGCCCTGGTATTTTTTTTTTTTTTTTTTTGTATTTTTAGTAGAGACGGGGCTTCACCGTGTTAGCCAGGATGGTCTCGATCTCCTGACCACGTGATCTGCCCGCCTCAGCCTCCCAAAGTGCTGGGATTACAGGCATGAGCCACCGCGCCCGGCCCTAAAGTTAGTGTACTTATAAACAGCATAAAATTGGGTCATAAGTTTTTAGTCTCTCTGATAATATCTTT